>NW_025791818.1:309858-464787 GCF_000001405.40 Homo sapiens
ACACTCCTCACAAAAGAAGATATACACATGGCAAATAAGCATAATAAAAGTACTGAGAATCCGTTCTCATTAGATAACTGTGTACTAAAATGAGATACCACTACACACCTATTAGAATGTCCAAAATCCATAAAAAAGCAAAAAAAAAAAAAAAAAAGAAAAGAAAACCAAGATCAATTGCCAGGGAAGATGTGGAGCAACAGAAACTCTCATTCATTGCTGGTGGAAATGCAACATGGTACAGCCACTTTGGAAGACAATTTGGCGTTTTCTTAAAAAACTGAACACAGCATAAGATTCAGCAGTCATAATCAATTTACCCAATTGACGTGAAAACTTACGTCTACATAAAAATTTGTATACGATTGTATACAAAAGATTATTTCATAATCACCAAAAATAGAAGCATCCAAAATGTATTTCATTTGGTGGATGGATATATATATACACACGCACTATGGTACAACCAGACAATGATACTACTACTCCTCAATGAAAAGGAATAAGTTCTGAGCCACACAAAGTTATACATGACTCTTCAGTTCATTATGCTAGGTGAAAGAAACCAGTCTAAAAAGGCTACATAGTATGCGAGTCTATTTATATGACATTCAGGAAAAGGCAAAATTATAAAGATGAAACACCTATCAGTGGCAGCCAAGGGGGTTATCTGACAAGCACAGGGGATTTATCAGGGCAGTGAAACTAGTATGGTAATACTGTAATGGTGGATGCATGCTTGCTTTCATCTGAATATTTGTGTTCCCACAAACTTCATCTGCTGAAATACCAAGGTGATGGTATTAGGTAGAAGGTGGGGTATTTGGAGAATGACTAGTTCATGAGAGCAGAGTCCTCATGAATGGGATCAGTGTTTTTATAAAATAGACCCCACAGAGATCCCTTGCCCCTTCTTCCATGTGAGGACATAGGGGAAAGGCAACTGTCTATGAACTAGGGAGCAGGTCTCCATCAGACATGAAATCTGCCAGCACCTTGATCTTGGACTTCCCAACCTCTAGAATGTGAGAAATAAAGTTGTGTTGTTTATAAGCCACCCAGTCTACACTATTTTTGTTATGGAAGCCCAAAGGGACTAAGACAACGGCACGAGGCATTTGTCAAAACCCATAGATCTTTACAGCACAAAGAGTGAAGCTTAATGTATGTAAAGTCTAAAAGTAACTTAAGAAGTTGGAGAATCATGGGACAGAATGTAGAATGTTACACACACACACAAACCTAGCTGTATTATACATGTATGAAACCACTACAGTGAAGCAAGTGGCGGGAAAGTTACCATATTTGGGTACTCCATCAAAGAAATATGTTTTTTATAAAGTATAAGTCGGCCAGATAAGCATGTAAAATAGTTGAATATTTGATAATCATTTATATAATTTTTCAGATATGAAAACTATTGGGATTCTGTTTAATAAAACGTCCTTATCTTTTAAAAATGCATATTGAGTTATTTCGAGATGAAATGGTCTAATGCCTTAGATTCGCTCCACGTTATTCCAGAAGCTGATGTGCAGGTAGGCAAGTGTCTAACTGGAACCAGATTTGCTGTGTATTTAAAGTTGTTCATGCTGGGTATCTAGTATCCTGGGTTCATTACATTAGTTCCTATTATTCTGTATGTGTGAAGGCTTTCCCTAGTAAAACTTTTTTTATAATAAATATGCCATTAAAAGTGAAATCCTAAATGAAACTGACCACTTTGTAGAAATAAAATAAACCAGTAACCAAACTGATCCAAAAAGAAAAAGAAAACTTTAATTAAACTATAAAAACTGAAACTGTACAATGTTCAAAGCTCAAGCCACCTTCAAACATTCCAGGTTAGGCAGTATTGGAGGCCAATTCTACCAAATGATCAGGGAAAACTAACCACCATCTTATCTCATCTCTTCTAGAACATACAAAATATTTACAATTGTTCAATTCATTCTTCCAGACTAGCCCTCCTGGATTCAAAAACCAGATGAGGACCACATCCCACCCTTGATGGGAAAAAAAGCACACATTAAGTAAGCTCCCTTACATAGCAGCAAATATCCTACGTAAATTACTAGCATATTAAATAAACAGGCTCTGCCCAAGGAAATAACATACGGTTTAACATTAGGGGAAAAAAAAAAAACGGTTTCATTGTAATTCCTTACATACAAAATGGAGGAGAAAAAAATTTGATTGCGTCAACGGGTACAGAAAAAGCTTTTTAAAGAAATTTAATATGAGTTCATGGTAAAAAAAAAAAAAAAGTATTTAACCTATATTCAAAGAGAAATTGCACTTCCTAAAATCAACAGCAAACATACTTAAATGCAAAACGTTCGAATAATTATCATTCACGTCAGGAACGAGAAGTAGATGTAGGCTATTATCTCTACGATTGAAATCAGGATTGAGACACAAAGAGCTATAAGTACCAAAATGAGTAAGTGGTATGAATACTGGAAGAATATGTAATGTTTAGTGATAATACCATTATCGATCTTGAAAATTCAAAGGAAAAGGTATGTGGAATATTCAAGTGCATCGGCCTTCAGAACGAGGTGTGCAACAGATTACTACAGCAAAATCAAAATCTTCACCTCACGAAAGCAATAACTAACTACAACAATTAATAGACAATATGCCATTTGCAATAGCAACAAAATTCATGAATTGCCTGAAAAGAAGTCTAATAAAAATGTATAAGGTCTTTATAGAGACAACTGTCGAAGTATACTGACATATTCAGGTAAAAAAAACCTTGAAATTACATAGAGGAGTATAATATATTCATTCATGGGGAGCACAACACTGTAAAAATGTAAACTCAGCTTAAATTATTTACAATTTAGTGCCTTACCTGTAGCCGCCGCCATTACAACAAATTTGGGCTGCTGTGCTCTGCTTCCCAAATCAAACCTGGAAAATTACAGAATGGAAACAGTAAATAAAAAACCAGTATCAGCAACAAAATCTACGCAACAAAACAGGGAAAGCCCAGGGTGAGACTCAAGGCTGTGTTGAGCTGGTACTTGTGTTTGACACTTGCAGTGTTGGTTGGAGGGGGTTAGCAGCAGGGATGTTGGGGAGGTTTGTAGCCGGCCTACACGGTAGATGACAGAATGGGTAGAATAAAAGTTTGAAATTTTCCACTTCACTTCTTTGCACAATCTGAGGCAGCCTCTGAAAACACGATGCCAAGAGCCCTAGGTAATAGCAGGACACCAGGAAAATTTGGTTGGTTAAGGCAGTATGACTCCAGAGTTCTGCTAATAACAACCTGAAACCACCATAGTGGCAGAGGAATTACATTTTTTAAAAAAAAAAATTCTTTCAACAGAACACAAAGACTGAAATAGGAGGTCACTACAACCGCGGGAGCTGCCGCCCCGCCCTGCAGGGAGCACCTGGCCTGGGACCCGCAGGCATTCTCTACAAGGGGTGCAGCTGTGCAAATGCTCACAGGTGACAGAAACAGAGCATCTCCTGCCCATCACTTCATCCAACAGCCAGAGGTGACGAAGACGACCCTCCTGAGTGAGGACTGAGGGTCCACACCGCCCCCCCACCCCACACACCATAGAGGGACCACAGAATCCAGCTCAGCCCCTCTTGTCAGCCCTGGTAAACGCAGGCAGTGATGTCACCCAGACCACACCCCTTCCCCCAATGCCACTTCAGGGGGACTCAGAGTCAGAGACTTGGTCTGAGGGGAGCAGAAGCAATCTGCAGAGGATGGCGGTCCAGGCTCAGCCAGGCATCAACTTCAGGACCCTGAGGGATGACCGAAGGCCCCGCCCACCCACCCCCAACTCCCCCGACCCCACCAGGATCTACAGCCTCAGGACCCCCGTCCCAATCCTTACCCCTTGCCCCATCACCATCTTCATGCTTACCTCCACCCCCATCCGATCCCCATCCAGGCAGAATCCAGTTCCACCCCTGCCCGGAACCCAGGGTAGTACCGTTGCCAGGATGTGACGCCACTGACTTGCGCATTGGAGGTCAGAAGACCGCGAGATTCTCGCCCTGAGCAACGAGCGACGGCCTGACGTCGGCGGAGGGAAGCCGGCCCAGGCTCGGTGAGGAGGCAAGGTAAGACGCTGAGGGAGGACTGAGGCGGGCCTCACCTCAGACAGAGGGCCTCAAATAATCCAGTGCTGCCTCTGCTGCCGGGCCTGGGCCACCCCGCAGGGGAAGACTTCCAGGCTGGGTCGCCACTACCTCACCCCGCCGACCCCCGCCGCTTTAGCCACGGGGAACTCTGGGGACAGAGCTTAATGTGGCCAGGGCAGGGCTGGTTAGAAGAGGTCAGGGCCCACGCTGTGGCAGGAATCAAGGTCAGGACCCCGAGAGGGAACTGAGGGCAGCCTAACCACCACCCTCACCACCATTCCCGTCCCCCAACACCAACCCCACCCCCATCCCCCATTCCCCATTCCCATCCCCACCCCCACCCCTATCCTGGCAGAATCCGGGCTTTGCCCCTGGTATCAAGTCACGGAAGCTCCGGGAATGGCGGCCAGGCACGTGAGTCCTGAGGTTCACATCTACGGCTAAGGGAGGGAAGGGGTTCGGTATCGCGAGTATGGCCGTTGGGAGGCAGCGAAAGGGCCCAGGCCCTCCTGGAAGACAGTGGAGTCCTGAGGGGACCCAGCATGCCAGGACAGGGGGCCCACTGTACCCCTGTCTCAAACCGAGGCACCTTTTCATTCGGCTACGGGAATCCTAGGGATGCAGACCCACTTCAGCAGGGGGTTGGGGCCCAGCCCTGCGAGGAGTCATGGGGAGGAAGAAGAGGGAGGACTGAGGGGACCTTGGAGTCCAGATCAGTGGCAACCTTGGGCTGGGGGATGCTGGGCACAGTGGCCAAATGTGCTCTGTGCTCATTGCGCCTTCAGGGTGACCAGAGAGTTGAGGGCTGTGGTCTGAAGAGTGGGACTTCAGGTCAGCAGAGGGAGGAATCCCAGGATCTGCAGGGCCCAAGGTGTACCCCCAAGGGGCCCCTATGTGGTGGACAGATGCAGTGGTCCTAGGATCTGCCAAGCATCCAGGTGAAGAGACTGAGGGAGGATTGAGGGTACCCCTGGGACAGAATGCGGACTGGGGGCCCCATAAAAATCTGCCCTGCTCCTGCTGTTACCTCAGAGAGCCTGGGCAGGGCTGTCAGCTGAGGTCCCTCCATTATCCTAGGATCACTGATGTCAGGGAAGGGGAAGCCTTGGTCTGAGGGGACTGCACTCAGGGCAGTAGAGGGAGGCTCTCAGACCCTACTAGGAGTGGAGGTGAGGACCAAGCAGTCTCCTCACCCAGGGTACATGGACTTCAATAAATTTGGACATCTCTCGTTGTCCTTTCCGGGAGGACCTGGGAATGTATGGCCAGATGTGGGTCCCCTCATGTTTTTCTGTACCATATCAGGTATGTGAGTTCTTGACATGAGAGATTCTCAGGCCAGCAGAAGGGAGGGATTAGGTCCTATAAGGAGAAAGGTGAGGGCCCTGAGTGAGCACAGAGGGGATCCTCCACCCCAGTAGAGTGGGGACCTCACAGAGTCTGGCCAACCCTCCTGACAGTTCTGGGAATCCGTGGCTGCGTTTGCTGTCTGCACATTGGGGGCCCGTGGATTCCTCTCCCAGGAATCAGGAGCTCCAGGAACAAGGCAGTGAGGACTTGGTCTGAGGCAGTGTCCTCAGGTCACAGAGTAGAGGGGGCTCAGATAGTGCCAACGGTGAAGGTTTGCCTTGGATTCAAACCAAGGGCCCCACCTGCCCCAGAACACATGGACTCCAGAGCGCCTGGCCTCACCCTCAATACTTTCAGTCCTGCAGCCTCAGCATGCGCTGGCCGGATGTACCCTGAGGTGCCCTCTCACTTCCTCCTTCAGGTTCTGAGGGGACAGGCTGACCTGGAGGACCAGAGGCCCCCGGAGGAGCACTGAAGGAGAAGATCTGTAAGTAAGCCTTTGTTAGAGCCTCCAAGGTTCCATTCAGTACTCAGCTGAGGTCTCTCACATGCTCCCTCTCTCCCCAGGCCAGTGGGTCTCCATTGCCCAGCTCCTGCCCACACTCCCGCCTGTTGCCCTGACCAGAGTCATCATGCCTCTTGAGCAGAGGAGTCAGCACTGCAAGCCTGAAGAAGGCCTTGAGGCCCGAGGAGAGGCCCTGGGCCTGGTGGGTGCGCAGGCTCCTGCTACTGAGGAGCAGGAGGCTGCCTCCTCCTCTTCTACTCTAGTTGAAGTCACCCTGGGGGAGGTGCCTGCTGCCGAGTCACCAGATCCTCCCCAGAGTCCTCAGGGAGCCTCCAGCCTCCCCACTACCATGAACTACCCTCTCTGGAGCCAATCCTATGAGGACTCCAGCAACCAAGAAGAGGAGGGGCCAAGCACCTTCCCTGACCTGGAGTCTGAGTTCCAAGCAGCACTCAGTAGGAAGGTGGCCAAGTTGGTTCATTTTCTGCTCCTCAAGTATCGAGCCAGGGAGCCGGTCACAAAGGCAGAAATGCTGGGGAGTGTCGTCGGAAATTGGCAGTACTTCTTTCCTGTGATCTTCAGCAAAGCTTCCGATTCCTTGCAGCTGGTCTTTGGCATCGAGCTGATGGAAGTGGACCCCATCGGCCACGTGTACATCTTTGCCACCTGCCTGGGCCTCTCCTACGATGGCCTGCTGGGTGACAATCAGATCATGCCCAAGACAGGCTTCCTGATAATCATCCTGGCCATAATCGCAAAAGAGGGCGACTGTGCCCCTGAGGAGAAAATCTGGGAGGAGCTGAGTGTGTTAGAGGTGTTTGAGGGGAGGGAAGACAGTATCTTCGGGGATCCCAAGAAGCTGCTCACCCAATATTTCGTGCAGGAAAACTACCTGGAGTACCGGCAGGTCCCCGGCAGTGATCCTGCATGCTATGAGTTCCTGTGGGGTCCAAGGGCCCTCATTGAAACCAGCTATGTGAAAGTCCTGCACCATATGGTAAAGATCAGTGGAGGACCTCGCATTTCCTACCCACTCCTGCATGAGTGGGCTTTGAGAGAGGGGGAAGAGTGAGTCTGAGCACGAGTTGCAGCCAGGGCCAGTGGGAGGGGGTTTGGGCCAGTGCACCTTCCGGGGCCCCATCCCTTAGTTTCCACTGCCTCCTGTGACGTGAGGCCCATTCTTCACTCTTTGAAGCGAGCAGTCAGCATTCTTAGTAGTGGGTTTCTGTTCTGTTGGATGACTTTGAGATTATTCTTTGTTTCCTGTTGGAGTTGTTCAAATGTTCCTTTTAACGGATGGTTGAATGAGCGTCAGCATCCAGGTTTATGAATGACAGTAGTCACACATAGTGCTGTTTATATAGTTTAGGAGTAAGAGTCTTGTTTTTTATTCAGATTGGGAAATCCATTCCATTTTGTGAATTGTGACATAATAATAGCAGTGGAAAAAGTATTTGCTTAAAATTGTGAGCGAATTAGCAATAACATACATGAGATAACTCAAGAAATCAAAAGATAGTTGATTCTTGCCTTGTACCTCAATCTATTCTGTAAAATTAAACAAATATGCAAACCAGGATTTCCTTGACTTCTTTGAGAATGCAAGCGAAATTAAATCTGAATAAATAATTCTTCCTCTTCACTGGCTCGTTTCTTTTCCGTTCACTCAGCATCTGCTCTGTGGGAGGCCCTGGGTTAGTAGTGGGGATGCTAAGGTAAGCCAGACTCACGCCTACCCATAGGGCTGTAGAGCCTAGGACCTGCAGTCATATAATTAAGGTGGTGAGAAGTCCTGTAAGATGTAGAGGAAATGTAAGAGAGGGGTGAGGGTGTGGCGCTCCGGGTGAGAGTAGTGGAGTGTCAGTGCCCTGAGCTGGGGCATTTTGGGCTTTGGGAAACTTCAGTTCCTTCTGAAGGAGCTGACTCTAATGAAGTTGGGTGGGCCCAGAGCCAGATTCTCAGAGTGTGGGAGAAAAGCCTGGAATGGAAAGCAACTCTGAGCAGTTTCTTTCGAATGGGGGATGAACAGAGAGGAATCTCTACCTCAGGCAGGAATGGAAGGTGTCGTCTGCTTTTGTCCCACTGCTGTTGAACGCAGCCCAAGATCTAGGTGATGGACACCCATCATCTGCAAGGGTTTCCTGAGCGATAAGGCTGAATTTCCCAGGAAGGGTGGCCCAGAAGCCCCTGGCCAGGTGCTTTTCTGCCGGGCAGGGAGAGGCAGAGCTGACTCCATTAAAAAAGGCATTCCAACTAGGTTATCTCAAGTGCAATTTGACCAATTGTAAGCACGGGCTAGATTTTGGATGGTAACAAAATGGATGAAAATGGTGGTTTGGGTGGGAAAGCAGCTGGGAGAGAGAGAAGCAGTTGGTCTTTTGACGCAGATTGTAGGAGCTCCGAGCTGCACCTGGCTGGGCGAAACTCCTGCACACCCAAATTTTGAAGCGCGTTCTCTGAGAGGAAATACTTAACTGAATTTTATGGAAGAAGCTTCTGTTTGGGGCTAATTATTCCATGTCCTATTGAGCTGTATATTCTCTGGTAAGTCCTGGAGAACAACGACAGCAACAACAAAATCCCGGAGTGTTAGGGCCTCGGGTTAAAAAATATTGGAAATAACAGCCATCCGCCATTTGTTAAACTTCTAATTTATACCAGGCCCGGAGTCAGGTGCTTCACCTGCGTTGCATACACTCCAACTGTCCTACTAGACAGTCCTTATCACATCTGCTTACAGATGAAGAATCCAAGGCTCACAGGGTGTGTGAATTGGGATATAAAAACAGGGTATTTCCTGGGTATTTCCCAGGATCACGTGGCTAGTGAGGAACAGGGCAGAACCCGACCCCTGTTCTGAATTCCTTTAGAGCCCATGCTGTTCCCACTTCTCCCAGCCCGAGGCTGACCTCCTGACAGCGACTTCATTTTTCTTCTCAGCACTGCACCATGTCTCTCAGGTGACAAAAAGAAGGACCTCGAGGCCAGCGTAATAAAGCAGGCCTGGAGAACGCGACAATGAGAATCAAACACCATTTGGGGCTGGTGTGCGCTGGGTTCCCTGAGAGCTGACACTGGCAAGATGTGTTCATTTCTGTCCAGCCCCAGCACTTTCAGAATTACAGCACATTTCCCCGGGTCACTTCCATGTGTCCTGTCTGACTCCGGAACCTATAGGGCCTGCTGATCAGCTCCTCACTGGTCCCCACAGAACAGCCCAGAATCCCCTGCTCACCTCCTGACAGGGAGCATTCCTTCTCACAGTAGAAGTCCTCTGGCTGTCCCGTCTCTCACCCAGGAAGCCATATGATATCAACAATCCTTTTGATATAAAAATTCACATGGGGACAGTGACGTTTAGACACCTGGTTACCACTCCGGTTGTCTTCAACACACTCTCTAATTGTTTTCTGAAAGGGCTGAGTAGTCTGTTTCTCCATATTATCTAAGGGTTCTTGTGTGATGTCACCCTGAAGTGAGAGGAATTTGGAACCACCTTGATACCTGAAATCAGACTTTCACAGGGCGTCCTTTTGGAATTCGCCTCTGAATACATGCACAGATAAATGGTCAAAGAGCAAACCATCCCTCATGAGTACTAGATGAGAAAAACCTTGGGAAATCCCAGTGGAACAAACATCTACTTACTGAGGCTGAATTCCTAAATTTCTGGAGTCCTCCAGGAGTCTAAAAACGATTCCTTGAAAACATGTCAACTCTAATGAAAGAGGAATAATTAAGCAGCCTTCTGTTTCTTGTCTGTTTACCTGCTCCACGGGAAAATACTGGCCTTTATTGTGCCTACAGGCACTCGAGAGGTGTTCAGGCTTGTGGAGGGTAGCAGAAATTCACAGGTTAACATTTTGACCGGGAATCAAATGGAGGAAAAATGCTCAGCCTACTAAGGATTAAAGGGTATTGCAAAGGGAAGCCTTCTCGCCGAGACTTTCAAGATTCTTGGGCAGTTAGTTGTGATCGTATATTTGAAAACATCAGTTACATATTTGACACTGGAAAAAGTTGGAGAATGTCACGGCAAATTTGGCCTTCTCAGAAACTCCTCCTAGAAATGAGAAGGGTAGTGTAATACCAAAGAATCACAGTTGTTTTTGTTGAGCACCTACTATGTAACAGTTTATGGGGGAGGGTATAGTACTCACACACATTTTGTCTCTGTCTCCTTCCTGGACACATGGGAACAGTAAAGTCCTTGCAGTTAGGATGGGTCATGTGACATTTCCTTTATACCAATATAGGAGCAGAAGCATTGTTTGTCACATCCAGGCATGTGGGAGCCAGTGTGCCATTTCCAAGCTTTCTCTCCGCTTTCACTAGCAAACATGGCAGCTTCATCTTGAGATGACGGAATCACAAGGTGGAAGCAGCTTGGATTCCTGGGTCCCGTGAGAGTGGAGAGCCCCTGGCAAACTGCATCAGAACTTATTTGCACATAAAATAAACTTGTGTTGTGGCAAGCCATTCGTGGTTGTTCTGTTGCAATGGCTAGCAGTTACTTAAACTGACATGGCTAGTATTTCTGTTTGTCAGGTTTAATTTTTTTTTATTTAAAATGTAGTATTGTACATATTCTTATTGCAAAACTTATAGAAATGTAGATAATTCACAATTTTCCCCTTTACAAATCTCCTCCACATTTAACAACGCCCACCACCCCCACCGCCCCCTCAGAGGTCACCACAATTAACGGTGTTGTATATTATTTTACTGCTGACTCTAGGCTTCTCACTGACAGATAAACTATAACAATATGTTGTTTTTATTTAATATACAAGAACAATGATATACATACTGATATTCTTTTATCACTTTATAAAATGGATGTAGGATCTTTCCACAACGGTAGATAGATAGATAGATAGATAGATAGATCTTTCTCACTTTTGAAACCACTTTCTATAATTCTAAAGTAGACATGCACCACAATTAATTAAACTCTTTCTTCCTAGTGGACATATAAGTTGTTTCCCATTTGCTGTATGATAACTACAATAAAATCAACATCTCTGAATATGAATTTTTAGGCAAACATGGTTTTCTTATAAGAAGGATATATTAACATGGACACTGGGTTAAAGTGAAAGGGTGAAAATAGTTTAACATTTAAAATATTTCTAAAATGTTATTACAAAAGTGCTGTACCAATTCAAATTCTCATAAAAATCACAATTGATTTAAAATTCTGAAATGTGGACAGGACATTTCTTCTCTGCTTTGAGAAGGATTTGGTGAGACTGAAGAGGAGCCAGGTAATGAGAGCAGACAGGAGACCCTCAGCCCGTGAGGGAGGATCCAGGGAGGATCCTGGGGAGAGCCGTTGCTAGCGTCCATGAGAGAGACCACATGCGAAACCAAGTCCACAGAGCCCCAGGCAGGCTGTCACTCCGAGCTCTAAATCCAGACTTCAGGCCGGTGGGGTCAGGGGCCTGAGGGAGAGAAGGGGGAAGGGAGGAGGGAGGACAGGACAATGAATAGGAATAGAGTTGGGAAATCCCGGCAACATCATCACCAGCTGGAGGGGGCCCTGTGATCTGAGTGTTGGCTGAATGCACCAGGGCTGTGCTGGTCAACCTTCCCGCCCTCAGAATCCCCTTCCCTCTCTCAGGAAGAGCTTGGCTGACTCCCTGCGTCATTCTGGGCCAGCTACCTCTCTTGAACACTCCAGTGGTCCTTTGTACCTTCACCAGCGTCCCAGATGTGGGAACTGTCTTCATGCCTGCTGGGGGCTGGTGTTTTATCCCCCGGGGACCTTCTATAGAGGCTGGGCTATGTGAGTGGGTTGCTGACTGATGACCAACTGCCGAGACAGGCCAGGAATGCCCATGAGCAGTTGAAAGGGGCAGTGGGGCTGCATGGAGGAGAAATGGGAGGAGGAGTGCCCTGGGACTAGTCAGCTCAGACTCTGCAGATGAAGGATTGGCTGTGGACGTGCCTTGAAAATGTTCCAGTTGGCCACTGTGTCTCAGATAGCCTTCTGTGGCTTCTGAACCCTTGGCACAGAACGGGACAGGAGTCCTAGGGCAGTGACCGCTGGCGTATGTTGCCAGATGACAGTGTCTGGGGTAGGGGGCTGGACCAAGGTGTGTACGTGAGCAGGTTGTATGGCAAGGCATTGCAGGTGGCAGCTTTCCTTGTTAAACTGATGGGGACGTGTGGGGTCCAATACAGGAAGCATCCTGTTGGGAGCATCCTCACCTCCATGACAGTGTTTGGGCCTGGGGAGAAGGCGTCTGCAGTGACCCTCTCCGTGGTAGTTTCCACAGGGTTTCTGAACTCAACTGAGCACAGGTGAAGGAACTGTGGGTTTCTTCATGTAGGCAGGAGGCCCAGGAAGGGCAGACTCCATAATTTGAATCAAAGAATTCCCATGCCAGGTGATTTCATTCATTCCATGCACGTATTGATTCCTACAGAAAACTTTTATTCAATATATGCTGAGGAAACACCAAGTCAACAAAACAATAGAAAGTGGCAAGGCCCTTAATTCAGTCTGTAGGGAGTCGGGGGAGATGAAGAGGTGGTGTGAATCGCCCATCTGAGCCAGGGAAGCCAGGAAGGCAGAGCCAGACTTGGGGACTGGCAGTGTGCAAGAAAAGGAGCGACAGCCTGTGTCCGGGCCAGAAAGCTCTCCTTCTATTACACTATCGATCTGGTTTTCTTCCTGGATGCTGCCTGTGTGTGAAAGCAACTGCTGCTCTCTGTGCCTACCTGCCTCTGTTAGTAGGGAAAATGGTCATGGTCAGCGGATGCTCACTTCTGCTCACCTTGGATCACTTCTACTGAAGGGATGGTTTGACAACAAGAAGACAGGAAGAAACTTTTGGGGAGGATGAATATATTTTTCACCTTCACTGTGGTTGTGGTTTCATGGGACTAAACATTTCTCAAAACTCTTTGATTTGTTTCTCAGTACTTAGGAGAAAAAGTAAGCAGAAAACCAGGAAGGATATAGATGACCTGAAAAGCACCATTAACTACTCTGACTAAATAAAACAATAAGAAAAGCACCGCATTCAACAATAGCAGAATAAACAATCCTCTCAAGTGTGCATGAAATATCTCCCAAGATAGATGGTATTCTGGGCCATCAAACAAAGCTTACAAATTGAAAAGAATAGAAATAATAGATAGCCTCTTCTTAGGCCATAATATAATTAAACTCAAAACCAAACACCAAGATATCTGAAAAATGCCCAAATATTGGAAATTTTAAAATAAGCTCCTATATAACCTATGGGTCAAAGAGGGAGTCCCAGGAGAATTTTAAAAATACATTAAGTTGAATGAAAGTAAAAATGTACATACAAAAAGTGGGATTCTGCTAAAGTGTGTCCTTGAGGGAAATATATAGCATATTTTAAATGTTTATATTAGAAAATGAAATCTAAAATCAATAACCAAAAGTTTCACCCTAGGAAACCAAAGAACGAAGAGCAAGTTGAATTAGAGAAATTGTAGAGGATGCCCCCCTCCCTTCCCACACTCCCACCTCTTTCCCCTTACTCCCTACCCCTACCATTTGAGACACACAGACACACACATCATTTTGCAACATGTTCACTTTATTTTCATCACCATGGGGCACACTCTTTGGGGTGTAAAATGTACTCTACACCCTGTTGGCTATTTATCTGGGGTTAGACCTCTGGAGACTTTTCAGATAGACTTGAAGTCTCTGGCCTTGCCCGGGAATTACTGGCTGTCCGAAGAGAGACTGGAGAAGGTGGTGGTCTCCTTGCCCTTGTGGTCCCGCTATGGCTCATTTTGATTGAGTTCCTCGTTCGGCTGGTCAGAGTGGCTGGATAGTGTTGGCCCACTCCATTCCTCAGGTTTTTTTGAAGCGGCGGTCTTTTAGGGAGAGCCTTTTGTTCCTGGAACTTCCTTGATGGGTCCCTTTTCCCTTCCGGGTTGTCTTGGGAACCTGGAAGGAAACAGGGAGATCAAAGAAGGGCACTGGTTTGGGGAAGAGGATGGAGGAGGGGTGAGAACAGGGGCTTCATAGAGAAATGGTGCAGGCTGGGGTGGGGGTTGTGCCAGGGGAGGACAGGGTAGGAGTCAGAGCTTGGGTGGGCCGTTCACTTTGATAGGGCTTCTGGGCCAGGGTTGAGAGGATGCCTTCCACTTCCTCGCCTCTTTGGTGTTGGTGGGTGGTTGTTGGACAATGGGCTGGAGGCTCGTGGTTTCCTGGACATCTTCACCAGACCAGCGTCTCTCAACAGTCTACTCCAGTCCACCTGGTCTCTCCAAGCCTCCCCCAGGACAGTGAAGGCAGGCCAGCAGGCTAGAAACTCACAGCGCATTTTTATGTTAGTCTTGTGGTAGAATTCCTTTTCCAGGAAACCTTGGTCTTTTCTCTTAACACCTTCAACTAATTGGATGAGGCCCATCCACATTATGGAAGTTAAACTGCTTTACTTAAAATCAACTGATTGTAAATGTTGATCACATCTACAAAATACCTTCACAGCAACATCTAGACTACTGTTTGACCACACAGCTGAGCAGTATAGCCTAGACAAGTTGACACATAGTACTAGCCATTGCACATATCTTGCACCATACAGAAATGTAACTCAAAATGAACTACAGACTTTAAATGTCAAAATTACTTTTTTTTTTTCTAGGAGGAAACAAAAAAAAAATTGTGTCACCTGAAGTTATGTCTTAAGTCAGCTCAGGCTGCCATAACAAAATGCCATTGAGTGAGTAGCTAAAACAACAGAAATTTATTTTTTTTCTCACAGTTTTGAAGTCTGGAAGTCCTAGATCAAGGACTGGCGGGGTTGGCTTCTGGTGATGGCCTTATTCGTGGCTTGTAGATGGCCCTTTATTAATCTGTCCATTCTTGGCCTTTCCTCTGTGCATGTGCAGAGAGAGAGAGAGAGAGAGAGAGAGAGAGAGAGAGAGAGAGAGAGAAAGAGAGAGAGAGAGAGAGAGAGAGAGAAAGGTCATGTAGGCACAAAAGTACTTTCTTCTGTCTCTTCTCCCTTCTTATAACCAAACTAATTCTATGGGATCAAGGTCCCACCCTTATGGCCTCTTTTAACATTAATCACTTCCCTAGAAGCCTCATCTCCAAATACAGACACCCTGGGGCTGAGGGCTTCAAAATATGAATTTGGTGGAGGACATAAGCATTAGCAAAGAATAGACACACAGATTAATAAAACAGAATAGAGCTCAGAAATAGACCTGCACGCATATAGTCAGGTGATTCACAACAAAGGCAATAATGGTGAAAGTACAGGTTTTCCAACAAAAGGTGTCGGAACAATTAGACACCTATACACAAATTATAATAACCTGGACATATCCTTACATATTCCATGAAAACTAACTCAAGATACATCATAGGTCTAATGAAAAATGCAAAAACAATACAACCTCTATAAGAAAACATAAGAGAAAATCCACATAACTTTGAGTTTGGTGATGAGTTTTTAAATTCAACACCAAAAGCATGATCAAGGAAAGAAAAATTTGCCAAGTTGATTTTATTAAAATAAAAATCTTATGCTCTTCAAAGGACAATGTTAAGAGAATGAAAACAGAAGCCACAGACTAGCAGAAAACATCTGCGGTACACATATGTGATAAAGAACTTGTCTCTACAATATATGCGAATTCTTAAAGCTCAATGATAGAAAAAATGAAAATAGTCAAAGATCTGAACACACACTACACAAAAGAAGATATACACATGGCAAATAAGCATAATAAAAGTACTGAGCACCCTTTGGCATTAGATAATTGTGTACTAAAATGGGATACCACTGCACACCTATCAGAATGTCCAAAATCCATAGAAAACCAAAACAAAGAATACAAGACCAAGAACAATTGCCAGCGAAGATGTGGAGCAACGGAAACTCTCCTTCATTGCTGGTAGAAATGCAAAATGGCACAGCCACTTTGGAAGGCAGTTTGGCGTTTTCTTAAAAAAATGAAAATAGACTTAGCACAAGATTCAGCAGCCATACTCAATCAATTTACCCAATTGATTTGAAAACTTATGTCTACATAAAAATTTGTATATGAATGTATACAATAGCTTATTTCATAATCACCAAAAATAGAAGCATCCAAAATGTATTTCATTTGGTGAATGGATATATATATATATATATATATATATATATATATATATATATAACCAGACATTGATACTACTCCTCAATGAAAAGGAATAAGTTCCAAGCCACACAAAGTTATACATGACTCTTCAGTTCATTATGCTAAGTGAAAGAAACCAGTCTAAAAAGGCTACATAGTATAAGATTCTATTTATATGACATTCTGGAAAATGCAAAATTATAAAGATGAAAAACCTATCAGTGGTGGCCATGGGGTTTATCCGACAAGCACAAGGGAATTTATCAGGGCAGTGAAACTGGTATGCATAATACTGCAATGGTGGTTCCGTGCTTGCTTTGGTCTGAATATTTGTGTTGCCACAAAATTCATCTGCTGAATTACCAAGGTGATGGTATTAGGCAGAAGGTGGGGTATTTGGAGAATGACTAGATCATGAGAGCAGAGTCCTCATGAATGGGATTAGTGTTTTTATAAAACAGACTCCACGGAGATCCCTTATCCCTTCTTGCATGTGAGGATCTAGGGAAAAGGCAGCTGTCTATGAACTAGGGAGCAGGACTCCACCAGACATGAAATCTGCCAGCACCTTGATCTTGGACTTCCCAACCTCCAGAATGTGAGAAATAAAGTTGCGTTGTCTATAAGCCACCCAGTCTATCACTATTTTTGTTATGGAAGCCCAAACGGACTAAGACAATGGCACGAGGCATTTGTCAAAACCCATAGATCTTTACAGCACAAAGAGTGAAGCTTAATGTATGTAAAGTTTAAAAGTAACTTAAGAGGTTGGAGAATCACGGGACGGCAGGTAGAATGTTCCACACACACACACACACACACACACACCTAGTTGTATAATAGATATATGAAACCACCACAATGAAGCAAGTGGGGGGAAAAGTTAACACATTTTGTACTCCATCAAAGAAATATATATTTTATAAAGTTTAAGTTGGCCAGATAAGTGTGTAACATAGTTGAACATTTGATAATCATTTATTTAATTTTTTAGATATGAAAACTATCGGCTTTTTGTTTTAAAAAAATCCTTATCTTTTAAAAATGCATATTAAGTTATTTAGAGATGAAATGGTCTAATGCCTTAGATTTACTCCACGTTATTCCAGCAGCTCATATGCAGGTAGGCGAGTGTTTAACTGGAACCAGATTTGCTGTGTATTTAAAGATGTTCATGCTCGGTATCAAGTATCCTGGGTTCATTATATTCGTTCCTGTTATTCTGTATGTGTGAAGGCTTTCCCTAATAAAACTTTTTTATCATAAATATGCCATTAAAAGTGAAATCCTAAATGAAACTGACCACTTTGTAGAAATAAAATAAATCAGTAACCAAACTGATCCAAAGAGGAAAAGAAAACTTTAACTATACAACAGAAACTGTACAATATTCAAAGCTCAAGCCACCCTCAAACATTCCAGGTTAGACAGCTTTGGAGGCCAATTTTACCAAATGATCAGGGAAAACTAACCACCGCCTTATATCAACTCTTCCAGAACATACAAAAGACTGACAATTGTTCAGTTCATTCTCCCAGGCTAGCCCTCCTGGATTTAAAAACCAGATGAGGACCACATACCTCCCCTGATGGAAAAAGAACACATCAAGTAAGCTCTCTTACACAGCAGTAAATATCCTACATAAATTAGTAGTACATTAAACGAATAAACAGGCTCTGCCCAAGGAAATAAAATATGATTTAACATTAGAAAAAACATCTGTTTCATTGTGATTCCTTACATACAAAATGGAAGAGAAAAAAATTTGATCCTGCCAACGGGTACAGAAAAAGCTTTTTAAATAAATTTAATATGAATTCATGGTAAAAAAGAAAATATTTAGGCAACCTATACTGAAAGAGAACTTCCATTTCCTAAAATCAACAGCAAACATACTTAAATGTCAAATGTTCGAAGAATTATCATTCAAGTCAGGAACGAGAAGTAGATGTAGCCTATTATCTCTACATTTGAAATCAGGATTGAGACACAAAGAGCTGTAAGTACCGAAATGAGTGAGTGGTATGAACATTGGAAAAACATGTAGTGTTTAGTGATAATACCATTATCGATCTTGAAAATTCAAAGGAAAAGGTATGCGGAATATTCAAGTGCATCGGCCTTCAGAACGAGGTGTGCAACAGATTACTACAGCAAAATCAAAATCTTCACCTCACGAAAGCAATAACTAACTACAACAATTGATAGACAATATGCCACTTGCAATAGCAACAAAATCCAAGAATTACCTGAATAGAAGCCTAATAAAAATGTATAAGTTGTTTATAGAGGCAACTACCGAAGTATACTGACATATTCAGGAAAAAAGAGCTTGAAATCCATAGAGGAGTATAACATATTCATTCACGGGGAACACAACAGTGTAAAAATGTAAACTCAGCTTAAATTATTTACAATTTAGTGCCTTACCTGTAGCCGCCGACATTACAAGCAAATTTGGGCTGCTGTGCTCTGCTTCCCAAATCAACCCTGTAAATTTATAGAATGGAAACAGAAAGTAAAACACCAGTATCAGCAAGAAAATCTACACAACAAAACAGGGAAAGCCCAGAGTGAGACTGGAGACTGTGTTGAGCTGGTACTTGTGTGTGACACTTGCAGTGTCTGTTGGAGGGGGTTAGCGGCAGAGATGTTGGGGAGGTTTGTAGCCTGCCTAGACGGCAGATGAAAGAATGGGTAGAATAAAAGTTTTGAATTTTCCACTTCACTTCATTGCACAATCTGAGGCAGCCCCTGAAAACACGATGCCAAGAGCCCTAGGTAATAGCAGTGTCCACCAGGAAAATTGGGTTTGTTAAGGCAGCATGGCTCCAGAGTTCTGCTAATAACAACCTGAAACCAACAGAGTGGGAGAGGAATTATGTTTTTTAAAAAAATTCTTTCAACAGAACACAAAGACTGGAATGGAAGTAGACTAGGATATCAGAGTGAATCATGCATACTAAGGGTAGGTGTTAGTTCATAGAAATAAATATATATATTGCTACCTACATATATACTTAGAAGATATGTAAACCGTATTTCTTCAATTCAGAGAATAAATCATTTAGGACCAAAGGTTTGCCAAGTGTAGCTCTGGCTGGGGAGGAGCCCCCGTGGGAAGGTGTGCGTCTTCTCCCAGAGGTCACTATCATCGCGGGAGCTCCTGCCCTGCAGGGAGCACCTGGCCTGGCACCCGCAGCCATTCTCTACAAGGGGTGCAGATGCGCAGATGCGCAGATGCTCAGAGGTGACAGAAACAGAGCATCTCCCACCCATTCCTTCATCAAACAGCCAGGAGTGAGGAAGAGGACCCTCCTGAGTGAGGACTGAGGATCCACCCTCACCCACATAGTGGGACCACAGAATCCAGCTCAGCCCCTCTTGTCAGCCCTGGTACACACTGGCAATGATCTCACCCCGAGCACACCCCTCCCCCCAATGCCACTTCGGGCCGACTCAGAGTCAGAGACTTGGTCTGAGGGGAGCAGACACAATCGGCAGAGGATGGCGGTCCAGGCTCAGTCTGGCATCCAAGTCAGGACCTTGAGGGATGACCAAAGGCCCCTCCCACCCCCAACTCCCCCGACCCCACCAGGATCTACAGCCTCAGGATCCCCGTCCCAA
The DNA here is from genome assembly GCF_000001405.40 of Homo sapiens. Lineage (NCBI taxonomy): Eukaryota > Metazoa > Chordata > Mammalia > Primates > Hominidae > Homo > Homo sapiens. Next base: position 329,588 of record NW_025791818.1, read on the forward strand.
TCCCTACCCCTACACCAACACCATCTTCATGCTTACCCCCACCCCCCCATCCAGATCCCCATCCGGGCAGAATCCGGTTCCACCCTTGCCGTGAACCCAGGGAAGTCACGGGCCCGGATGTGACGCCACTGACTTGCGCATTGGAGGTCAGAGGACAGCGAGATTCTCGCCCTGAGCAACGGCCTGACGTCGGCGGAGGGAAGCAGGCGCAGGCTCCGTGAGGAGGCAAGGTAAGACGCCGAGGGAGGACTGAGGCGGGCCTCACCCCAGACAGAGGGCCCCCAATAATCCAGCGCTGCCTCTGCTGCCGGGCCTGGACCACCCTGCAGGGGAAGACTTCTCAGGCTGAGTCGCCACCACCTCACCCCGCCACCCCCCGCCGCTTTAACCGCAGGGAACTCTGGCGTAAGAGCTTTGTGTGACCAGGGCAGGGCTGGTTAGAAGTGCTCAGGGCCCAGACTCAGCCAGGAATCAAGGTCAGGACCCCAAGAGGGGACTGAGGGCAACCCACCCCCTACCCTCACTACCAATCCCATCCCCCAACACCAACCCCACCCCCATCCCTCAAACACCAACCCCACCCCCAAACCCCATTCCCATCTCCTCCCCCACCACCATCCTGGCAGAATCCGGGCTTTGCCCCTGCAATCAACCCACGGAAGCTCCGGGAATGGCGGCCAAGCACGCGGATCCTGACGTTCACATGTACGGCTAAGGGAGGGAAGGGGTTGGGTCTCGTGAGTATGGCCTTTGGGATGCAGAGGAAGGGCCCAGGCCCTCCTGGAAGACAGTGGAGTCCTTAGGGGACCCAGCATGCCAGGACAGGGGGCCCACTGTACCCCTGTCTCAAACTGAGCCACCTTTTCATTCAGCCGCGGGAATCCTAGGGATGCAGACCCACTTCAGCAGGGGGTTGGGGCCCAGCCCTGCGAGGAGTCAAGGGGAGGAAGAAGAGGGAGGACTGAGGGGACCTTGGAGTCCAGATCAGTGGCAACCTTGGGCTGGGGGATCCTGGGCACAGTGGCCGAATGTGCCCCGTGCTCATTGCACCTTCAGGGTGACAGAGAGTTGAGGGCTGTGGTCTGAGGGCTGGGACTTCAGGTCAGCAGAGGGAGGAATCCCAGGATCTGCCGGACCCAAGGTGTGCCCCCTTCATGAGGACTGGGGATACCCCCGGCCCAGAAAGAAGGGATGCCACAGAGTCTGGCCGTCCCTTGTTCTTAGCTCTGGGGGAACCTGATCAGGGATGGCCCTAAGTGACAATCTCATTTGTACCACAGGCAGGAGGTTGGGGAACCCTCAGGGAGATAAGGTGTTGGTGTAAAGAGGAGCTGTCTGCTCATTTCAGGGGGTTGGGGGTTGAGAAAGGGCAGTCCCTGGCAGGAGTAAAGATGAGTAACCCACAGGAGGCCATCATAACGTTCACCCTAGAACCAAAGGGGTCAGCCCTGGACAACGCACGTGGGGGTAACAGGATGTGGCCCCTCCTCACTTCTGTTTCCAGATCTCAGGGAGTTGATGACCTTGTTTTCAGAAGGTGACTCAGGTCAACACAGGGGCCCCCATCTGGTCGACAGATGCAGTGGTTCTAGGATCTGCCAAGCATCCAGGTGGAGAGCCTGAGGTAGGATTGAGGGTACTCCTGGGCCAGAATGCAGACAGGGGGCCCCATAGAAATCTGCCCTGCCCCTGCGGTTACTTCAGAGACCCTGGGCAGGGCTGTCAGCTGAAGTCCCTCCATTATCCTGGGATCTTTGATGTCAGGGAAGGGGAGGCCTTGGTCTGAAGGGGCTGGAGTCAGGTCAGTAGAGGGAGGGTCTCAGGCCCTGCCAGGAGTGGACGTGAGGACCAAGCGGACTCGTCACCCAGGACACCTGGACTCCAATGAATTTGGACATCTCTCGTTGTCCTTCGCGGGAGGACCTGGTCACGTATGGCCAGATGTGGGTCCCCTCATCTCCTTCTGTACCATATCAGGGATGTGAGTTCTTGACATGAGAGATTCTCAAGCCAGCAAAAGGGTGGGATTAGGCCCTACAAGGAGAAAGGTGAGGGCCCTGAGTGAGCACAGAGGGGACCCTCCACCCAAGTAGAGTGGGGACCTCACGGAGTCTGGCCAACCCTGCTGAGACTTCTGGGAATCCGTGGCTGTGCTTGCAGTCTGCACACTGAAGGCCCGTGCATTCCTCTCCCAGGAATCAGGAGCTCCAGGAACCAGGCAGTGAGGCCTTGGTCTGAGTCAGTGTCCTCAGGTCACAGAGCAGAGGGGACGCAGACAGTGCCAACACTGAAGGTTTGCCTGGAATGCACACCAAGGGCCCCACCCGCCCAGAACAAATGGGACTCCAGAGGGCCTGGCCTCACCCTCCCTATTCTCAGTCCTGCAGCCTGAGCATGTGCTGGCCGGCTGTACCCTGAGGTGCCCTCCCACTTCCTCCTTCAGGTTCTGAGGGGGACAGGCTGACAAGTAGGACCCGAGGCACTGGAGGAGCATTGAAGGAGAAGATCTGTAAGTAAGCCTTTGTCAGAGCCTCCAAGGTTCAGTTCAGTTCTCACCTAAGGCCTCACACACGCTCCTTCTCTCCCCAGGCCTGTGGGTCTTCATTGCCCAGCTCCTGCCCGCACTCCTGCCTGCTGCCCTGACCAGAGTCATCATGCCTCTTGAGCAGAGGAGTCAGCACTGCAAGCCTGAAGAAGGCCTTGAGGCCCGAGGAGAGGCCCTGGGCCTGGTGGGTGCGCAGGCTCCTGCTACTGAGGAGCAGCAGACCGCTTCTTCCTCTTCTACTCTAGTGGAAGTTACCCTGGGGGAGGTGCCTGCTGCCGACTCACCGAGTCCTCCCCACAGTCCTCAGGGAGCCTCCAGCTTCTCGACTACCATCAACTACACTCTTTGGAGACAATCCGATGAGGGCTCCAGCAACCAAGAAGAGGAGGGGCCAAGAATGTTTCCCGACCTGGAGTCCGAGTTCCAAGCAGCAATCAGTAGGAAGATGGTTGAGTTGGTTCATTTTCTGCTCCTCAAGTATCGAGCCAGGGAGCCGGTCACAAAGGCAGAAATGCTGGAGAGTGTCCTCAGAAATTGCCAGGACTTCTTTCCCGTGATCTTCAGCAAAGCCTCCGAGTACTTGCAGCTGGTCTTTGGCATCGAGGTGGTGGAAGTGGTCCCCATCAGCCACTTGTACATCCTTGTCACCTGCCTGGGCCTCTCCTACGATGGCCTGCTGGGCGACAATCAGGTCATGCCCAAGACAGGCCTCCTGATAATCGTCCTGGCCATAATCGCAATAGAGGGCGACTGTGCCCCTGAGGAGAAAATCTGGGAGGAGCTGAGTATGTTGGAGGTGTTTGAGGGGAGGGAGGACAGTGTCTTCGCACATCCCAGGAAGCTGCTCATGCAAGATCTGGTGCAGGAAAACTACCTGGAGTACCGGCAGGTGCCCGGCAGTGATCCTGCATGCTACGAGTTCCTGTGGGGTCCAAGGGCCCTCATTGAAACCAGCTATGTGAAAGTCCTGCACCATACACTAAAGATCGGTGGAGAACCTCACATTTCCTACCCACCCCTGCATGAACGGGCTTTGAGAGAGGGAGAAGAGTGAGTCTCAGCACATGTTGCAGCCAGGGCCAGTGGGAGGGGGTCTGGGCCAGTGCACCTTCCAGGGCCCCATCCATTAGCTTCCACTGCCTCGTGTGATATGAGGCCCATTCCTGCCTCTTTGAAGAGAGCAGTCAGCATTCTTAGCAGTGAGTTTCTGTTCTGTTGGATGACTTTGAGATTTATCTTTGTTTCCTGTTGGAATTGTTCAAATGTTCCTTTTAACAAATGGTTGGATGAACTTCAGCATCCAAGTTTATGAATGACAGTAGTCACACATAGTGCTGTTTATATAGTTTAGGGGTAAGAGTCCTGTTTTTTATTCAGATTGGGAAATCCATTCCATTTTGTGAGTTGTCACATAATAACAGCAGTGGAATATGTATTTGCCTATATTGTGAACGAATTAGCAGTAAAATACATGATACAAGGAACTCAAAAGATAGTTAATTCTTGCCTTATACCTCAGTCTATTATGTAAAATTAAAAATATGTGTATGTTTTTGCTTCTTTGAGAATGCAAAAGAAATTAAATCTGAATAAATAATTCTTCCTGTTCACTGGCTCATTTCTTTACCATTCACTCAGCATCTGCTCTGTGGAAGGCCCTGGTAGTAGTGGGGATTCTAAGGTAAGCCAGACTCACGTCTACCCATAGGGTCATAGAGTCTAGGAGCTGCAGTCATGTAATTAAGGTGGCGAGAAGTCCTCTAGGATGTAGTGGAAATGTAAGACAGGGGTGAGGGTGTGGGGTTCCAGGTGAGAGTGGTGAGTATAAATGCCCTGAGCTGGGGCAATTTGGGATCTGGGAACCTGCAGTTCCTTCTGAAGGAGCTGATTCTAATGATGCCCGGTGGGTCCAGGGCCAGATTCTCAGAGGGTGAGAGAAAAGCCTGGAATGGAATGCTACCCTGAGCAGTTTCTTTAGGATGGGGATGAAGAGAGAGGAATCTCCACCTGGGGCTGGAATGGAAGGTGTCCTGTGTTTTTGCCCAATGCTGTTGAACACAGCCCAAGATCTAGGTGATGGACACCCATCATCTGCAAGGGTTTCCTGAGCGATAAGGCTGAATTTCCCAGGAAGGGTGACCCAGAAGCCACTGGCCAGGTGCTTTTCTTTTTTTTTTTTTTTTTTTTTTTTTTTTTTTTTTTTTTTGAGACGGAGTCTCGCTCTGTCGCCCAGGCTGGAGTGCAGTGGCGGGATCTCGGCTCACTGCAAGCTCCGCCTCCCGGGTTCACGCCATTCTCCTGCCTCAGCCTCCCAAGTAGCTGGGACTACAGGCGCCCGCCACTACGCCCGGCTAATTTTTTTTGTATTTTTAGTAGAGACGGGGTTTCACCGTTTTAGCCGGGATGGTCTCGATCTCCTGACCTCGTGATCCGCCCGCCTCGGCCTCCCAAAGTGCTGGGATTACAGGCGTGAGCCACCGCGCCCGGCCGGCCAGGTGCTTTTCTGCCAGGCAGGGAGAGCCAGAGCTGACTCCATTAAAAAGGCATTCTAACTAGGTTATCTCAAGTGCAATTTGACCAATTGTAAGCACGGGCTAGATTCTGGATGGTAACAAAGTGGATGAATATAGTGGTTTGGATGGGAAAGCAGCTGGGAGAGAGGGAAGGAGTTGGTCTTTGACTCACATTCTAGGAGCTTTGAGCTGCACCTGGCTGGGCAAAACTCCCGCACAACCAAATTTTGAAGTGCATTCTCTAAGAGGAAATACTTAACTGAATTTTATGGAAGAAGCTTCTGTTTGGGGCTAATTATTCCATGTCCTATTGAGCTGTATGTTCTCTGATAAGTCCTGGAGAACAACGACAACAACAACAAAATCCCAGTGTTCGGGCCTCGGGTTAAAGCATATTGGAAATAACAGCCATCCGCCATTTGTGAAACTTCCAATTTACACCAGGCCCGGAGCCAGGTGGTTCACCTGCGTTGCATACACTCCGACTGTCCTACTAGACAGGCCTTATCACATCTGCTTACAGATGAAGAATCCAGGGCTTACAGAGCTTGTGAATTGGGATATAAGAACAGGGTATTTCCTGGGTATTTCTCAGTATCACGTGGCTAGTAAGGAACAGGGCTGGAACCAGACCCCTGGCATGAATTCCTTTAGAGCCCATGCTGTCCCCACTTCTCCGAGCCCGAGGCTGACCTCCTGACAGCGACTTCATTTTTCTTCTCAGCACTGCACCATGTCTCTCAGGTGACAAAAAGAAGGACCTTGAGGCCAGCATAATGAAGCAGGCCTGGAGAACGCGACAGTGAGAATCAAACACCATTTGGGGCTGGTGTGCGCTAGGTTCCTTGAGAGCTAACTCTGCCCAGTTGTGGGCATTTCTCTGCAGCCCCAGCACTTTCAGAATTACAGCACATTTCCCCGGGTCACTTCCATGTGTCCTGTCTGACTCTGGAACCTATAGGGCCTGCTGATCAGCTCCTCACTGATCCTCACAGAACAGCCCAGAATCCCCTGCTCACCTCCTGACAGGGAGCATTCCTTCTCATAGTAGAAGTCCTCTGGCTGTTCCGTCTCTCACCCAGGAAGCCATATGATGTCAAAAACCCTTTTGTATAAAAACTCACACGGGGACAGTGACGCTTAGACACTTGGTTACCACTCTGGTTGTCTTCAACACACTCTCTAATCGTTTTCTGAATGGGCTGAGGAGTCTGATTCGCCATATTATCTAAGGGTTCTTGTGTGATGTCACCCTGAAGTTAGAGGGATTTGGAACCACCTTGATACTTGAAATCGGACTTTCACAGGGCGTCCTTTTGGAATTCGCCTCTGAATACATGCACAGATAAATGATCAAAGAGCAAACCGTCTCTCATGAGTATTAGATGAGAAAAACCTTGGGAAACCCCAGTGGAACAAACATCTACTTACTGAGGCTGAATTCCTAAATTTCTGGAGTCCTCCAGGAGTTTAAAAACTATACCTTGAAAACATGTCAACTCTAATGAAAGAGGAATAATTAAGCAGCCTTCTGTTTCTTGTCTGTTTACCTGCTCCACAGGAAAATACTGGCCTTCAGCGTGCCTACCTCGACAGGTGTACAGGCGTGTGGAGGGTAGCAGAAATTCACAGGTTAACATTTTGACCGGGAATCAAATGGAGGAACAATTCTCAGCCTACTAAGGATTTAAAGGATATTACAAAGGAAAGCCTTCCTGCTGAGACTTTCAAGATTCTTGAACAGTTAGTTGTGATCGTATGTTTGAAAACATCAGTCACATATTTGACACTGGAAAACGCTGGAGAACTTCAAGGTAAATTTGGCCTTCTCAGAAACTCCTCCTAGAAATGAGAAGGGTAGTATAATACCAAATGATCATAGTTGCTTTTTGTTGAGCACCCACTATGTAACAGTTTATGGGGAAGGGTATAGTACTCACCCACATTTTGTCTCTGTCTCCTTCCTGGACACATGGGAACAGTAAAGTCCTTGCAGTTAGGATCATGTGACTTTTCCTTTACACCAATACAGGAGCAGAAGCATTGTTTGTCACATCCAGGCATTTGAGAGCCAGTGTGCCATTTCCATGCTTTCTCTCCGCTTTCAACAGCAAACATGGCAGCTTCATCTTGAGATGACGGAATCAAAAGGTGGAAGCAGCTTGGATCCCTGGGTCATGTGAGAGTGGAGAGCCCCTGCCAAACCGCATCAGAACTTATTTGCACATAAAATAAACTTCTGTTGTGTCAAGCCATTCATGGTTGTTCTGTTGCATCAGCTAGCAATTACTTAAACTGACACGGCTAGTATTTCTGTTGTCAGTATTAAATATTTTTTATTTAAAATGTAGTTTGGTATATATTCTTATTTCAAAAATGATAGAAATGTAGATAATTCACAATTTTTTTTTTACAAAGCTCCTCCACAGTTAACAACACCCCCCGCCCCCCCGCAGAGGTCACCACAATTAACAATGTTGTGTATTATTTTACTGCTGACTCTAGGCTTTTCACTGACAAACTATAACAATATATTATTTTTATTCAATATACAAGAACAATGACATACATACTGATCTGCTTTTATCACTTTATAAAATGCATGTAGGATCTTTCGACAACAGTATAGATAGATGATAGATAGATAGATAGATAGATAGATAGATAGATAGATAGATAGATAGAGACAGGTAGATCTTTCTCACTTTTGAAACCACTTTCTATAATTCTAAAGTAGACATGCACCAAAATTAATTAAACTCTTTCTTCCTAATGGACATATAAGTTGTTTCCCATTTGCTATATGATAAATAGAATAAAATAAACATCTCTGCCTATGAATTTTAGGCAAACATGGTTTTCTTATAAGAAGGCTATATTAACATGGACATTGGGTTAAAGTGAAAGGGTGAAAATAGTTTAACATTTAAAATATTTCTAAAATGTTATTACAAAAATGCTGTACCAATTCAAATTCTCATAAAAATCACAATTGATTTAAAATTCTGAAGTGTGGACAGGATATTTCTTCTCTGCTTTGAGAAGGATTTGGTGAGACTGAAGAGGAACCAGGGAAGGAGAGCAGACAGGAGACCCTCAGCCTGTGAGGGAGGATCCAGGGAGGATCCAGGAGAGAGCCATTGCTAGTGTCAATGACAGAGAGCACATGCAAAACCAAGTCCACTGAGACCCAGGCAGGCTGGCACTCCGAGCTCTAAATCCAGACTTCAGGCCGGTGGGGTCAGGAGCCTGAGGGAGAGAAGGGGGAAGGGAGGGGGCAGGACAGGACAATGAACAGGAATAGGCTTGGGAAATCCTGGCACCATCATCACCAGCTGGAGGAGGCCCTGTGATCTGAGTGGGTAAGCCTGTTGGCTGAATGCACCAGGGCTGTGCTGGTCAACCTTCCCGCCCTCAGAATCCCCTTCCCTCTCTCCGGAATAGTTTGGCTGGCTCCCTGCATCATTCTGGGCCAGCTACCTCTCTTGAACCCTCCAGTGGTCCTTTGCACCTTCGCCAGCATCCCAGATCTGGGAGAGGCCTTCATGCATGCTGGGGGCTGGTGTTTTATCCCCTGGGGGCCCTCCATAGAGGCTGGGCTATGTGAGTGTGTTGCTGACTGATGACCAACTGCCAAAACAGGCCAGGAATGCCCATGAGCAGTTGAAAGGGGCAGTGGGGCTGCATGGAGGAGAAATGGGAGGAAGAGTGCCCTGGGACTAGTCAGCTCAGACTCTGCAGATGAAGGATTGGCTGTGGACGTGCCTTGAAAATGAACCAGGTGGTGACTGCGTCTCAGATGGACTTCTGTGGCTTCTGAACTCTTGGCACACAAGAGGACTGGTGTCGTAGGGCAGTGATCGCTGGACTATGTTGCCAGCAGACACTGTCTGGCGTACAGGGCTGGCCCAAGGTGTGTACATGAGCAGGTTGTATGGCAAGGCGTTGGAGTTGGCAGCCTTCCTTGTTAAACTGATGGGGATGTGTGGGGTCCAATAAAGGAAACATCATGCACCATCCTGTTGGGAGCATCCTCACCTCCATGACGGTGTTTGGGCCTGGGGATAAGGCATCTGTAGTGACCCTCTCGTTGGTAGTTTCCACGGGTTTTTCTGAGCTCAAGTGAGCACAGGTGAAGGAACTGTGGGTTTCTTCATGCAGGTCGGAGGCCCAGGCCAGACCGACTCCATAATTTGAACCAAAGAATTCCCATGCCTGGTACTTTCATTCATTTCATGCACTTATTGATTCCTACAGAAAACTTTTATTCAATATATGCTGAGGAAACACCAAGTCAAAAAAACACAAGAAAGCAGCAGTGCCCTTAACTCAGTCTATGGGGGGCGTGAGGGAGATGGTGAGGTGGAAAGACACGGAAGAGTTTTAGGAAGTGAGGGACTGTGAACTGATGGAGAGAATCTCTATTGACCTGACTTCTGAGGTTGGTGACGTTGCTCCCTTAGTTGAGAGGGAGGGAGAAGGGTAAGAGTTGGTGGTGATTTGATGAAGAAGAGTGTGGAGGATGAGATCCGTGGGCAGCATTTTAAAGCTCAGTCTAGGATTTTTTTAGACATGGATGTTTTATGAAAATATATAGTGTTTTAACACCCACAGGTAGTGATGCACGTATTGATATGTCACATGCCTTTGCCACGTAATAAGATGAACGCAAGGTCTTCCCACAACTATACCTACAATCGACATCACTTTTGTAAGTATTCCCTAGAATTCTAAAGTAGGTGTGTGCCATAGTTAATTAAACCTTTCCTTTCCTGATAAACACATACGTTCATTCCCATTTGTTGCTATGATTAATAGAACTGAAATAAACATACGTTTTTGGACAGATATGCATGCTTTCCAATAAGAAAGATATAGTAACATGGACATTGGGTTAAAGTGGAAATGGTGTGAATAGTTTAACTTTTTAGAAGTATTGTCAAAATTTTATTCCAAAAATACTGTACCAATTAATTTTCTCACAAATTAATAGATGTGAATATCCTACACTCACAGAAAGATTTTGTGTTATCAATCTTCTCATTTTTGGTGAAAATTATGAATAAAATTTAGTGAAGAAATATTGTTTCACTGTTATTTTGTGTCTTTGCTTTCTCTAATTAGGTTAAGTACACACTAACTTAATCCCTCACCCATATGAAGTTGGATTTATACAGTGACATCCTGAGTAACATTTCTCTAGGCATGGTTTAACATTCTGAAATGGGGACAGGACATTTCTCTTGTGCTTTGAGAAGGAATTGGTCAGAATGAACAGGAGCCAGGGAAGGAGAGCAGACAGGACACCCTCAGCCCATGAGGGTAATCGGGAGGATCCAGCACTGATATGGTTTGATTGTTTCCCCACCCAAATCTCATCTTGAATTGTAGCTCCCATAACCTCCACGTGTCATGGGAGGGATCAGGTGGGAGGTAATTGAATCACAGGGATAAGTTTTTCCCATGCTGTTCTCGCCGTAGTAAATAAGTCTTAGGAGATCTGATGTTTTCACAAAGGGCAGTTCCCCTGCACATGCTCTCTTGCCTGCTGCCATGTGAGACATATCTTTGCTCCTCCTTCCCCTTCTGCCATGATTGTGAGGCCTTCCCAGCCATGTAGAACTGTCAGTCCATTAAACCTCTTTTTTTTATTATTATAAATTACCCAGTCTCAGGTATTTCTTCATAGCAGTATGAAAATGAACAAATACAAGGGGAGAGCAATGGCCAGAGTCCATGAGAGAGACCGTATATGAAACCAAGTCCACATTTCCCCAGGCAGGCTGGCATTCAGAGGTCTGAATCCAGAGTTCAGCCCGGTGGGGGCAGGGACCTGAGGGAGAGAAGGGGGAAGAGAGGAGGGAGGGCAGGACAATGAAAAGGAATAGGCTTAGGAAATTCCAGCACCATCGTCACCAGCTGGAGGGGGCCGTGTGATCTGAATGGGCAGGCCTGTTGACTGAATACACCACGGTTGTGCTAGACACCCAACCCTCCCTCAGAATCCCTTTCCCTCTCTCACGAAGAGTATGGCTGGCTCCCTGCATCATTCTGGGTGAGCTCCCTCTCTCCACCACTCCAGTGGTCGTGTGCACTTTTGCCAGCGTCCCAGGGCAGGAAGTTGTCTTCAAGCCTGCTGCGGGCTCCTGTTTTATCTCCTGTGGACCCTCCATAGAGCCTGGACTATGTGAATGGGTTGCTGATTGATGAGCAACAACCAAGACAGGCCAGGAATATTTATGAGGTGTAAAAGGTGGCAGCAAGGCTGCATGGAGGGGAAGTTGGAGGAAGAGTGCCCTGAGACTAGTAAGCTCCTACTCTGTAGATGAAGGATTGGCTGTGGACATGCAATGAAAATGATCCAGGTGGTGACCATGTCTCAGATGGACTCGTGAGGCTTCTGAGCTCTCGGCACATGAGGAGACAGGTGTACTGGGGCACTGATCACAGGCCTGTGTTGCCACCAGACAGGGTCTGGGGTAGAGGGTTGGCCCAAGCTGTGTATGTGAGCAGGTTGGATGGCAAGGCAGTGGAGTTGGCACCCTTCCCTGTTAAACTGATGGGGATGTGTTTGGTCCAATAGAGGAAGCGTCATGCACCATCCTGTTGGAAGCATCCTTACCTCCATGATAAGTGTTTGAGCCTGGGGAGAAGGTGTCTGCAGTGACCCTCTCCGTGGTAGTTGCCATGGAATTTCTGAACTCAAGTGAGCACAAGTGAAAGAACTGTGGGTTTCTTCATGTAGGCAGGAGGCCCAGGAAGGGCAGACTCCATAATTTGAATCAAAGAATTCCCATGCCAGGTGATTTCATTCATTCCATGCACGTATTGATTCCTACAGAAAACTTTTATTCAATATATGCTGAGGAAACACCAAGTCAACAAAACAATAGAAAGTGGCAAAGCCCTTAATTCAGTCTGTAGGGAGTGGGGGGAGATGGTGAGGAGGTGTGAATCGCCCATCTGAGCCAGGGAGGCCAGGAAGGCAGAGCCAGACTTGGGGACTGGCAGTGTGCAAGAAAAGGAGAGACAGCCTGTGTCCAGGCCAGAAAGCTCTCCTTCTATGACAGTATTGGTCTGGTTTTCCTCCTGGATACTGCCTGTGTCTGAAAGCAACTGCTGCTCTCTGTGCCTACCTGCCTTTGTTAACAGGGAAAATGGTCATGGTCAGCGGATGCTCACTTCTGCTCACCTTGGATCACTTCTACTGAAGAGATGGTTTGACAGCAAGCAGACAGGAAGAAACTTTTGGGGAGGATGAATATATTTTTCACCTTCACTGTGGTTGTGGTTTGATGGGACTAAATGTTTGTCAAAACTCTTTGATTTGTTTCTCAGTACTTAGGAGAAAAAGTAAGCAGAAAACCAGGAAGGATATAGATGACCTGAAAAGCACCATTAACTACTCTGACTAAATAAAACAATAAGAAAAGCACCGCATTCAACAATAGCAGAATAAACAATCCTCTCAAGTGTGCATGAAATATCTCCCAAGATAGATGGTATTCTGGGCCATCAAACAAAGCTTACAAATTGAAAAGAATAGAAATAATAGAAAGCCTCTTCTTAGACCATAATATAATAAAACTCAAAACCAAACACCAAGATATCTGAAAAATGCCCAAATATTGGAAATTTTAAAATAAGCTCCTATATAACCTATGGGTCAAAGAGGGAGTCCCAGGAGAATTTTAAAAATACATTAAGTTGAATGAAAATAAAAATGTACATACAAAAAGTGGGATTCTGCTAAAGTGTGTCCTTGAGGGAAATATATAGCATATTTTAAATGTTTATATTAGAAAATGAAATCTAAAATCAATAACCATAACTTTCACTCTAGGAAACCAAAGAACGAAGAGCAAGTTGAATTTAAAGAAATTGTAGAAGATCCCACCTCCCTCCCTTCTCACACTCCCACCTCTTCCCCCTTACTCCCTACCCCTACCATTTGAGACACACAGACACACACATCATTTTACAACATGTTCATTTTATTTTCGTCACCATGGGGTATACCCTTTGGGGTATAAAATGTACTCTACACCCTGTTGGCTATTTTTCTGGGGTTAGACCTCTGGAGACTTTTCAGGTAGCCTTGAGGTTTCTGGCCTTGCCCGGGAATTACTGGCTGCCCAAAGAGAGACTGGAGAAGGTGGTGGTCTCCTTGCCCTTGTGGTCCTACTGTGTCTCATTTTGATTGAGTTCTTTTGGCTGGTCGGAGTGGCTGGATAGTGTTGGCCCACTCCATTCCTCAGGTTTTTTTGAAGCGGCGGTCTTTTAGGGAGAGCCTTTTGTTCCTGGAACTTCCTTGACGGGTCCCTGTTCCCTTCCGGGTTGTCTTGGCAACCTGGAAAACCAACCAGGAGATCAAAGAAGGGCACTGGTTTGGGGAAGAGGATGGAGAAGGGGTGAGAACAGGGGCTTCATAGAGAAATGGGGCAGGGTGGGGTGGGGGTTGTGCCAGGGGAGGACAGGGTAGGATTTAGAGCTTCGGTGGGCCGTTCACTTTGATAGGGCTTCTGGGCTAGGGTTGAGAGGATGCTTTCCACTTCCTCACCTCTTTGGTGTTGGTGGGTGGTTGTTGGACAATGGGCTGGAGGCTCGTGGTTTCCTGGACATCTTCACCAGACCAGTGTCTCTCAACAGTCTACTCCAGTCCACCTGGTCTCTCCATGCCTCCCCCAGGACAGTGAAGGCAGGCCAGCAGGCTAGAAACTCACAGCGCATTTTTATGTTAGTCTTGTGGTAGAATTCCTTTTCCAGGAAACCTTGGTCTTTTCTCTTAACACCTTCAACTAATTGGATGAGGCCTATCCACATTATGGAAGTTAAACTGCTTTACTTAAAGTCAACTGATTGTAAATGTTGATCACATCTACAAAATACCTTCACAGCAACATCTAGACTACTGTTTGACCACACAGCTGAGCAGTATAGCCTAGACAAGTTGACACATAATACTAGCCGTTGCACATATCTTGCACCATACAAAAATGTAACTCAAAATGAGCCACAGACTTTATATGTCACAATTACATTGCTTTTTTTTTCTAGGACAAAACAAAAAAAATTGTGTTACCTGAGGTTATGTCTTAGCTTAGGCTGCCATAACAAAATGCCATTGACTGAGTAGCTGAAACAACAGAAATTTATCTTTTTTCAGTTTTGAAATGTGGAAGTCCCAGATCAAGGACTGGCGGGGTTGTCTTCTGGTGATGGCCTTATTCCTGGCTTGTAGATGGCCCTTTATTAATTTGTCAGTTCTTGGCCTTTCCTCTGTGTATGTGCAGAGAGAGAGAGAGGAAGAGAGAGAGAGAAAGAAAGAGAGAGAGAGAGAGAAGTCATGCAGGCACAAAAGTACTTTCTTCTGTTTCTTCTCCCTTCTTACAATCACACTAATTCTGTGGGATCAAGCTCCCACCCTTATGGCCTCTTTTAACATTAATTACTACCTTAGAAGCCTCATCTCCAAATACTGACACCCTGGGGCTGAGGGTTTCAAAATATGAATTTGGTGGAGGACATAAGCATTAGCAAAGAATAGACACATAGATTAATAAAACAGAATAGAGCTCAGAAATAGACCTGCACACACATAGTCAGGTGATTCACAACAAAGGCAATAATGGTGAAAGTACAGGTTTTCCAACAAAAGGTGCCTGAACAATTAGACACCTATACACAAATTATAATAACCTAGACATATCCTTACATATTGCACGAAAATTAACTCAATACATCATAGACCTGATGAAAAATACAAGAACTATACAACCTCTAAAAGAAAACATAAGAGAAAATCCACATAACTTTGAGTTTGGTGATGAGTTTTTAAATTCAACACCAAAAGCATGATCAAGGAAAGAAAAATTTGCCAAGTTGATTTTATTAAAATAAAAATTTTATGCTCTTCAAAGGACAATGTTAAGAGAATGAAAACAAGCCACAGTCTAGCAGAAAAAATCTGTGGTACACATATGTGATAAAGAACTTGTCTCTACAATATATACGAATTCTTAAAGCTCAATGATAGAAAAAAATGAAAATAGTCAAAGATCTGAACACAATCTACACAAAAGAAGATACACACAGGGCAAATAAGCATAATAAAATACTGAGTGTCCTTTGGCATTAGATAATTGTGTACTAAAGTGAGATACTACTACACACCTATTAGAATGTCTAAAACCCATAAAAAAGCAAAACAAAACCAAGACCAATTGCCAGTGAAGATGTGGAGCAACAGAAACTCCGGGCGTGGTGGAAATTAGAAGTTTAACAAATGGCCGATGGCTGTTATTTCTAATATTTTTAAAGCCTAGGCATTAACACTCTGGGACTTTGTTGTTGTTGTCGTTGTTCTCCAGGAGTCATCAGAAAATATACAGCTCAACAGGACATGGGATAATTAGGCCAAAAAGGAAGCTTCACCTGTAAAATTCAGTTAAGTATTTCCTCTTAGAGAATGCACTTCAAACTTTGTGTGTGCGGGAGTTTTGCCCAGCCAGGTGCAACCCAAAACTCCTAGAATGTGTGTCAAAGACCAATTCCTTCCATCTCTCCCAGCTGCTTTCCCACCCAAACCACTATTTTCATCCATTTTGTTACCATCCAAAATCTGGCCCACGCCTACAATTGGTCAAATTGCACTTGAGATAACCTAGTTAGAATGCCTTTTTAATGGAGTCAGCTCTGGCTCTCCCTGCCTGGCAGAAAAGCACCTGGCCAGTGGCTTCTGGGTCACCCTTCCTGGGAAATTCAGCCTTATCGCTCAGGAAACCCTTGCAGATGATAGATTTTCATCACCTAGATCTTGGGTTGTGTTCAATAGCAGTGGGACAAAAGCACAGGACACCTTCTATTCCAGCCCCAGGTGGAGATTCCTCTCTGTTCATCCCCCATCCGAAATAAACTACTCAGAGTTGCTTTCCATTCCAGGCTTTTCTCTCATTCACTGAGAATCTGTGGGCCCTGGACCCACCCAGCTTCATCAGAGTCAGCTCCTTCAGAAGGAACTGCAGGTTCCCAAAGTCCAAAATGCCCCAGCTCAGGGCATTTACACTCCACAACTCCCTCCTGGAACCCCACACCCTCACCCTTCTCTTATATTTCCTCTACATCTTACAGGACTTCTTGCCACCTTAATTATATGACTGCAGGTCCTAGGCTCTACAACCCTACGGGTAGGCGTGAGTCTTGCTTACCTTAGCATCCGCACTACTAACGCAGAGCCTTCCACAGAGCAGATGCTGAGTGAATGGAAAATAAATGAGCCAGTGAACAGGAAGAATTATTTATTCAGATTTAATTTCTCTTAAATTCTCAAAGAAGCCAAGGATATCCAGGTATCCATGCTTTTTTTTCAAATTTACAGAATAGAGTGAGGTATAAGGCAAGAATTAAGTATCTTTTAACTTCTTGAGGTCTTTATCTCATGTATTTTACTGCTAATTCTTTCACAATTCTAAGCACATACTTTTTCCACTGCTGTTATTTGTCACAATTCACAAAATGGAATGGATTTCCCAATCTGAATAAAAAACAACACTCTTACTCCTAAACTATATAAACAGCACTATGTGTGACTACTGTCATTCATAAACTTGGATGCTGAAGTTCATTCAACCATCCGTTAAAAGGAACATTTGAACAATTCCAACAGGAAACAAAGATAAATCTCAAAGTCATCCAATAGAACAGAAACTCACTACTAACAATACTGACTGCTCTCTTCAAAGAGTGAAGAATGGGCCTCATATCACACGAGGCAGTGGAAACTAATGGATGGGGCCTTGGAAGGTGCACTGGCCCAGACCCCCTCCCACTGGCCCTGGCTGCAACTCGTGCTCAGACTCACTCTTCCCCCTCTCTAAAAGCCCATTCATGCAGGGGTGGGTAGGAAATGTGAGGTCCTCCACTGATCTTTAGCAAATGGTGCAGGACTTTCACATAGCTGGTTTCAACGAGGGCCCTTGGACCCCACAGGAACTCGTAGCATGCAGGATCACTGCCGGGGACCTGCCGGTACTCCAGGTAGTTTTCCTGCACCAAATCTTGGGTGAGCAGCTTCCTGGGATGCGCAAAGACACTGTCCTCCCTCCCATCAGATGCCTCCAACACACTCAGCTCCTCCCAGATTTTCTCCTCAGGGGCACAGTCGCCCTCTTTTGCGATTATGGCCAGGACGATTATCAGGAGGCCTGTCTTGGGCACGATCTGATTGTCGCCCAGCAGGCCATCGTAGGAGAGGCCCAGGCAGGTGACAAGGATGTACAAGTGGCCGATGCGGACCACTTCCACCACCTCGATGCCAAAGACCAGCTGCAAGTACTCGGAGGCTTTGCTGAAGATCACAGGAAAGAAGTCCTGGAAATTTCTGATGACACTCCCCAGCATTTCTGCCTTTGTGAATGGCTCCCTGGCTCGATACTTGAGGAGCAGAAAATGAACCAACTCAGCCATCTTCCTACTGAGTGCTACTTGGAAGCTCGTCTCCAGGTCAGGAAAGGTGCTTGGCCCTTCCTGTTCTTCGTTGCTGGAGCCCTCATCGGATTGACTCCAGAGAGTATAGTTGATGGTAGTGGGGAGGGTGGAGGCTCCCTGAGGACTGTGGGGAGGACTTGGTGACTCGGCAGCAGGCACCTCCCGCAGGGTGACTTCCACTAGAGTAGAGGAGGAGGAGGCAGTCTCCTGCTCCTCAGTAGCAGGAGCCTGCGCACCCACCAAGCCCAGGGCCTCTCCTTGGGCCTCAAGGCCTTCCTCAGGCTTGCAGTGCTGACTCCTCTGCTCAAGTGGCATGATGACTCTGGTCAGGGCAGCAGGTAGGAGTGTGGGCAGGAGCTAGTGCTGCTCCGGGGCCTGTCTCCTCAGAACCTGAAGGAACAAGTGAGAGGGCGCCTCAGGGTACAGCCGGCCAGCACATGCTGAGGCTGAAGGAATGACAGTAGGGAGGGTGAGGCCAGGCGCTCTGGAGTCCCATGTGTTCTGGGGCCGGTGCGGCCCTTGGTGTGCATTCAAGGCAAACCTTCAGTGTTGGCACTGTCTGCACCCCCTCTGCTCTGTGACCTCAGGACACTGCCTCAGACCAAGGCCTCACTGCCTTGTTCTTGGAACTCCTGATTCCTGGGAGAGGAATCCATGGGCCTCAGGGTGCAGACTGCAAGTACAGCCACAGATTCCCAAAATTGTCAGGAGGGTCGGCCAGACTCTGTGAGGTCCCCACTCTACTGGGGTGGAGGGTCCCTTCTGTGCTCACTCAGGGCCCTCACCTTTCTCCTTGCAGGGCCTAATACCGCCCTTTTGCTGGCCAAAGAAACTCTCATGGCAAGAATTCACATCCCTGATACGGTACAGAAGGACATGAGGGGACCAACATCTGGCCATACATAACCAGATCCTCCCACAAAGGACAATGAGAGATGTCCAAATTCATTGGAGTCCAGGTGTCCTGGGTGACGAGCCTGCTTGGTCCTCACCACTACTCCTGCTAGGGCCTGAGAGCCTCCCTCTACTGACCTGAGTGCAGCCCCTTCAGACCAAGGCCTCCCTTTCCCTGACATCAAAGATCCCAGGATAATGGAGGGACCTCAGCAGGTAGCCTTGCCCAGGCTCTCTGAGGGAATAGCAGGGGCAGGGCAGATTTCTGTGGGGCCCTCTGTCAGCGTTCTGGCCCAGGGGTACCCTCAATCCTACCTCAGGCTTCTCACCTGGATGCTTGGTAGATCTTAGGACCACTGTGTCTGTCGACTACATGGGGGCCCCTGTGTTGACCTGAGTCACCCTCTGAAGAAAAGGTCCTCAACTCCCTGAGATCTGGAAACAGAAGTGAGGAGGAGCCACATCCTGTCACTCCCAGGTAGGTTGTCCAGGGCTGACCCCTTTGGTTCTAGGGTGAGGCTTCTGATGGCCTCCTGTGGGTTACTCATCTTTACTCCTGCCAGGGACTGCCCTTCCTCAACCCCCAACCCCCTGAAATGAGCAGACAGCTCCTCTTTACACCAACACCTTATCTCCCTGAGGGTTCCCCAACCTCTTGCCTGTGGTACAAATGACATTGCCAATTGGAGCTATCTCTGATCGGGTTCCCTTAGAGCTAAGAATAAGGGACAGCCAGACTCTGTGGCATCCCTTCTTTCTGGGCCGGGGGTATCCCCAGTCCTCATGAAGGGGGCACACCTTGGGTCCGGCAGATCCTGGGATTCCTCCCTCTGCTGACCTGAAGTGCCACTCCTCAGACCACAGCCCGCAAATCTGTCACCCTGAAGTCGCAATGAGCATGGGGCACATTAGGCCACTGTGCCCAGGATCCCCCAGCCCAAGGTTGCCACTGATCTGGACTCCAAGGTCCCCTCAGTCCTCCCTCTTCTTCCTCCCCTTGACTCCTCGCAGGGCTGGGCTCCAACTCCCTGCTGAAGTGGGTCTGTATCCCTAGGATTCCCGCGGCCGAATGAAAAGGTGGCTCAGTTTGAGACAGGGGTACTTTGGGCCCCTGTCCTGGCATGCTGGGAGCCCTCCGGACTCCATTATCTTCCAGGAGGGGCTTGGGCCCATCCTCTGCTTCCCAAAGGCCGTACTCACGATACCGACCCCCTTCCCTCCCTGAGCCACAGATGTGAACGTCAGGATCCGCGTGCTTGGCCGCCATTCCCGGAGCTTCCGTGGGTTGATTGCAGGGGCAAAGCTCCGATTCTGCCAGGATGGGTGGGGATGGGAATCGGGGTTTGGGGGTCCCGTTGATGTTTGAGCGATGGTGGTGGGTTTGGTGTTGGGGGATGGGGGTGGGGTTGGTGTTGGGGGATGGGAATGGTGGTGGGGGTGCGGGGGGGTTACCCTCAGTCCCCTCTTGGGGTCCTGACCTTGATTCCTGGCTGAGTCTGGGCCCTGAGCACTTCTAACCAGCCCTGCCCTGGTCACACAAAGCTCTTACACCAGAGTTCCCTGCGGTTAAAGCGGCGGGGGGTGGCGGGGTGAGGTGGTGGCGACTGAGCCTGAGAAGTCTTCCCCTGCAGGGTGGTCCAGGCCTGGCAGCAGAGGCAGCGCTGGATTATTGGGGGCCCTCTGTCTGGGGTGAGGCCCGCCTCAGTCCTCCCTCGGCATCTTACCTTGCCTCCTCACGGAGCCTGCGCCTGCTTCCCTCCACCGACGTCAGGCCGTTGCTCAGGGCGAGAATCTCGCTGTTCTCTGACCTCCAACGCGCAAGTCAGTGGCGTCACATCCGGCCCCGTGACTTCCCTGGGTTCACAGCAGGGGTGGAACTGGATTCTTCCTGGATGGGGATCCAGATGGAGGTGGAGGTAAGCATGAAGATGGTGTTGGGGGTAGGGGTAGGGATAGGGACGGGGATCCTGAGGCTGTAGATCCTGGTGGGGTTGGGGGAGTTGGGGGTGGGAGGGGCCTTTGGTCATCCCTCAAGGTCCTGACTTGGATGCCAGGCTGAGCCTGGACCGCCATCCTCTGCCGATTGTGTCTGCTCCCCTCAGACCAAGTCTCTGACTCTGAGTCCCCCTGAAGTGGCACTGGGGGAGGGGTGCGGTCGGGGTGACATTATTGCCTAAGTTTATCAGGGCTGACAAGAGGGACTGAGCTGGATTCTGTGGTCCCACTACGTGGGGGAGGGTGGACCCTCAGTCCTCACTCAAGAGGGTCCTCTTCCTCACTCCTGGCTGTTGGATGAAGTGATTGGCAGGAGATACTCTGTTTCTGTAACGTCTGTGCATTTGCACAGCTGCACCCCTTGTAGAGAATGGCTGCGGGTCCCAGGCCAGGAGCTCCCTGCAGGGCGGGAGCTCCCACGATCGTATTGACCTCTGGAAGAAGACAGACACTTTCCCACGGGAGCTCCTCTCCAGCCAGAGCTACACTTGGCAAACCTTTGGTCCTAAATGATTTATTCACTGAATTGAAGAAATACGGTTTACATATCTTCCAAGTATATATGTAGGTAGCGATATATATATTTATTTCTACGAACTAACACCTACCCTTAGTATGCATCGTTCACTCTTACTATCCTAATCTACTTCTATTCCAGTCTTTGTGTTCTGTTGAAGGAATTTTTTTTTAAACGTAATTCCTCTCCCACTATGTTGGTTTCAGGTTGTTATTAGCAGAACTCTGGAGCCATGCTGCCTTAACAAACCCAATTTTCCTGGTGTCCTGCTATTACCTAGGGCTCTTGGCATCGTGTTTTCAGGAGCTGCCTCAGATTGTGCAATGAAGTGAAGTGGAAATTTTAAAACTTTTATTCTACCCATTCTGTTATCTGCCGTCTAGGCAGGCTACAAACCTCCCCAACATCCCTGCCGCTAACCCCCTCTAACCGACACGGCAAGTGTCACACACAAGTACCAGCTCAACAAGGTCTTCAGTCTCACCCTGGACTGGCCCTGTTTTGTTGTGTAGATTTTCTTGCTAATACTGGTTTTTTACTTTCTGTTTCCATTCTATAAATTTACAGGGTTGATTTGGGAAGCAGAGCACAGCAGCCCAAATTTGCTTGTAATGTCGGCGACTACAGGTAAGGCACTAAATTGTAAATAATTTAAGCTGAGTTTACATTTTTACACTGTTGTGTTCCCCATGAATGAATATGTTATACTCCTCTATGTATGTCAAGCTATTTTTTCCTGAATATGTCAGTATACTTCGATAGTTGCCTCTATAAGCAGCTTATACATTTTTATTAGACTTCTATTCAGGTAATTCTTGGATTTTATTGCTATTGCAAATGGCATATTGTCTATTAATTGCTGTAGTTAGTTATTGCTTTCGTGAGGTGAAGATTTTGATTTTGCTGTAGTAATCTGTTGCACACCTCATTCTGAAGGCCGATGCACTTGAATATTCCACATGCCTTTTCCTTTGAATTTTCAAGATCGATAATGGTATTATCACTAAACATTACATGTTTTTCCAATATTCATACCACTTACTCATTTTGATACTTATAGCTTTTTGTGTCTCAATCCTGATTTCAAACGTAGAGATAATAGGCTTCATCTACTTCTCGTTCCTGACTGGAATGATAGTTCTTCGAACATTTGACATTTAAGTATGTTTGCTGTTGATTTTAGGAAATGGAAGTGCTCTTTGAATATAGGTTAAATAAATATTTTCTTTTTTCCATAAACTCATTAAATGTCTTTAAAAAGCTTTTTCTGTACCCTTTGACAGGATCAAATTTTTTCTCCTCCATTTTGTATGTAAGGAATTACAATGAAACCGTTTTTTTTTTTTCTGATGTTAAATCATATGTTATTTCCTTGGGCAGAGCCTGTCTATTTGTTTAATATGCTACTAATTTAGGTAAGGTATTTACTGCTAGGTAAGGGAGCTTACTTGGTGTGTTCTTTTTCCATCGGGGAGGGATGTGGTCCTCATCTGATTTTGAATCCAGGAGGGCTAGTCTGGGAGAATGAACTGAACAATTGTCAATCTTTTGTATGTTTTGGAAGAGTTGATATAAGATGGTGGTTAGTTTTCCCTGATCATTTGGTAGAATTGGCCTCCAAAACTGCCTAACCTGGAATGTTTGAGGGTGGCTTGAGCTTTGAATATTGTACAGTTTCAGTTTGTATAGTTTAATTAAAGTTTTCTTTTTCTTTTTGGATCAGTTTGGTTACTGATGTATTTTATTTCTATGAAGTGGTCAGTTTCATTTAGGATTTCACTTTTAATGGCATATTTGTGATAAAAAACGTTTTATTAGGGAAAGCCTTCACACATACAGAATAACAGAAACTAATATTATGAACCCAGGATACTTGATACCGAGCATGAACAACTTTAAATACACAGCAAAGCTGGTTCCAGTTAGACACTCGCCTACCTGCATATGAGCTTCTGTAATAACGTGGAGCCAATCTAAGGCATTAGACCATTTCATCTCTAAACAATTTAACATGCATTTTAAAGGAAAAGGACTTTTTATTAAACAAAAACCCAATAGCATTGATATCTAAAAAATTAAATAAATGATTATCAAATGTTCAACTATTTTACAAACTTATCTGGAAGACATATACTTTATAAAATATATATTTCTTTGATGAAGTACCCAAATATGATAACTTTCCCCCCACTTGCTTCACTGTGGTGGTTTCATACATCTATAATACAGCTAGGTTTCTGTGTGTGTAACATTTTACATTCTGTTCTGTGATTCTCCAACCTCTTAAGTTACTTTTAGACGTTACATACCTTAAGCTTCACTCTTTGTGCTGTAAAGATCTATGGGTTTTGACAAATGCCTCTTGCCATTGTCTTAGTCCGTTTGGGCTTCCATAACAAAAATAGTGTAGACTGGGTGGCTTATAAACAACACAACTTTATTTCTCACATTCTGGAGGTTGGAAAGTCCAAGATCAAGGTGCTGGCAGATTTCATGTCTGGTGGAGTCCTGCTCCCTAGTTCATAGACACCTGCCTTTTCCCTATGTCCTTGCATGGAAGAAGGGGCAAGGGATCTCTGTGGGGACTATTTTATAAAAACACTGATCCCATTCATGAGGACTCTGCTCTCATGATCTAGTCATTCTCCAAATACCCCACCTTCTACCTAATACCATCACCTTGGTATTTCAGCAGATGAAGTTTGTGGGAACACAAATATTCAGATGAAAGCAAGCACGGAACCACCATTACAGTATTACCATACTAGTTTCACTGCCCTGATAAATCCCCTGTGCTTGTCAGATAACCCCCTTGGCTGCCACTGATAGGTTTTTCATCTTTATAATTTTGCCTTTTCCTGAATGTCATATAAATAGACTCGTATACTATGTAGCCTTTTTAGACTCGTTTCTTTCTAGACTCGTTTCTTTAGACTCGTTTAGCATAATGAACTGAAGAGTCATGTAAAACTTTGTGCAGCTTGTAACTTATTCCTTTTCATTGAGGAGTAGTAGTATCATTGGGTGTACCATATTTTAATGCGTGTGTGTGTGTATGTGTATGTATATATATATATATATATATATATATATATATATATATATATATATATATATAATCCATTCACCAAATGAAATACATTTTGGATGCTGCTATTTTTGGTGATTGTGAAATAAGCTATTGTATACATTCATATACAAATTTTTATGTAGACATAAGTTTTCAAATCAATTGGGTAAATTGATTGAGTATGGCTGCTGAATCTTACGCTAAGTCTATGTTCCGTTTTTTAAGAAAACGCCAAATTGTCTTCCAAAGTGGCTGTGCCATGTTGCATTTCCACGAGCTATGAATGAGAGTTTCTGTTGCTCCACATCTTCCCTGGCAATTGGTCTTGGTTTTGTTTGCTTTGTTTTGCTTTTTTATGGATTTTGGACATACTAATAGGTGTGTAGTGGTATCTCATTTTAGTACACAATTATCTAATGACAAAACACGCTTAGTACATTTATTATGCTTATTTGCCATGTGTGTATCTTCTTTTGTGTAGTGTGTGTTCAGATCTTTGACTATTTTCATTTTTTTCTATCGCTGAGCTTTAAGAATTCGCATATATTGTAGAGACAAGTTCTTTATCACATATGTGTACCGCAGATGTTTTCTGCTAGTCTGTGGCTTCTGTTTTCATTCTCTTAACATTGTCTTTTGAAGAGCACATGATGTTTATTTTAATAAAATCAACTTGGCAAATTTTTCTTTCCTTGATCATGCTTTTGGTGTTGAATTTAAAAACTCATCTCCAAACTCAAAGTTATGTGGATTTCTCTCATGTTTTCTTATAGAGGTTGTATTGTTTTTGCATTTTTCATTAGACCTATGATGTATCTTGAGTTAGTTTTCATGGAATATGTAAGGATATGTCCAGGTTATTATAATTTGTGTATAGGTGTCTAATTGTTCCGACACCTTTTGTTGGAAAACCTGTACTTTCACCATTATTGCCTTTGTTGTGAATCACCTGACTATATGTGTGCAGGTCTATTTCTGAGCTCTATTCTGTTTTATTAATCTGTGTGTCTATTCTTTGCTAATGCTTAGGTCCTCCACCAAATTCATATTTTGAAGCCCTCAGCCCCAGGGTGTCTGTATTTGGTGATGAGGCTTCTAAGGAAGTGATTAATGTTAAAAGAGGTCATAAGGGTGGGGCCTTGATCCCATAGAATTAGTGTGGTTATAAGAAGGGAGAAGAGACAGAAGATAGCATTTTTGTGCCTGCATGAGCTTGCTGTCTCTCTCGCGCGCTCTCTGCACATGCACAGAGGAAGGGCCAAGAATGGACATATTGAGAAAGGGCCATCTACAAGCCAGGAATAAGGCCATCACCAGAAGCCAACCCCGCCAGTCCTTGATCTGGGACTTCCAGACTTCAAAACTGTGAAAAAAGATAAATTTCTGTTGTTCCAGCTACTCAGTCAATGACATTTTGTTATTCTAGCCTGAGCTGACTAGTACATAACCTCAGGTAACACAATTTTTTTTTGTTTCCTCCTAGAAAAAAAGCCCGTAATTTTGGCATTTAAGACTGCGGTTCATTTTGAGTCACATTTTTGTACGGTGCAAGATATTTGCAGTGGCTAGTATTATGTGTCAACTTGTCTAGGCTATACTGCTCAGCTGTGTGGTCAAACAGTAGTCTAGATGTTGCTGTGAAGGTATTTTGTAGATGTGATCAACATTTACAATCAGTTGACTTTAAGTAAAGCAATTTAACTTCCATAATGTGGATAGGCCTCATCCAATTAGTTGAAGGTGTTAAAAGACCAAGGTTTCTTGGAAAAGGAATTCTACCACAAGACTAACATAATAATGTCGTGTGAGTTTCTAGCCTGCTGGCCTGCCTTCACTGTCCTGGGGGAAGCTCGGGGAGACCAGGTGGACTGGAGTAGACTGTACAGAGACACTGGTCTGGTGAAGATGTCCAGGAAACCACGAGCCTCCAGCCCATTTTCCAACAACCACCCATCAACACCAAAGAGGCGAGGAAGGGGAAAGCATCCTCTCATCCCTGGCCCAGAAGCCCTATCAAAGTGAATGGCCCACCCAAGCTCTGACTCCTACCCTGTCCTCCCCTGGCACAACCCCCACCCCAGCCTGTACCATTTCTCTATGAAACCCCTGTTCTCACCCCTCCTCCATCCTCTTCCCCAAACCAGTGCCCTCCTGTGATCTCCCTGTTGGCTTTCCAGGTTCCCAAGACAACCCAAAAGGGAAAAGGGACCCGTCAAGGAAGTTCCAGGAACAAAAGGCTCTCCCTAAAAGACCACCGCTTCAAAAAAACCTGAGGAATGGAGTGGGCCAACACTATCCAGCCACTCTGACCAGCCGAACCAGGAACTCAATCAAAATGCGCCACAGCAGGACCACAAGGGCAAGGAGACCACCGCCTTCTCCAGTGCTTCCTTGGGCAGCCAGTAATTCCCAGGCAAGGCCAGAGACTTCAAGTCTATCTGAAAAGTCTCCAGAAGTCTAACCCCAGATAAATAGCCAACAGGGTGTAGAGTACGTTTTACACCCCAAAGGGTATGCCCCATGGTGATAGAAATAAAATGAACATGTTGTAAAATGATGTGTGTGTCTGTGTGTCTCAAAGGTTGGGGGTAGGGCTTAAGGGGAAGAGGTGGGAATGTGGGAAGGGATGGGGGGATCCTCTACAATTTCTTTAAATTCAAATTGCTCTTCGTTCTTTGGATTCCTAGGGTGAAAGTTTTGGTTATTGATTTTAGATTTCATTTTCTAATATAAACATAAAATATGCTATACATTTCCCTCAAGGAAACACTTTAGCTGAATCCCATTTTTGTATGTATATTTTTATTTTCATTCAACTTAATGTATTTTTAAAATTCTCCTGAGACTCCCTCTTTGACCCATAGGTTATTTAGGAGCATATTTTAAAATTTCCAATATTTGGGCATTTTTCAGATATCTTGGTGTTTGGTTTTGAATTTAATTATATTATGGTCTAAGAAGAGGCTTTTTATTATTTCTATTTTTTTTTTCAATTTGTAAGCTTTGTTTGATGGCCCAGAATACCATCTATCCTGGGAAATATTTCATGCACACTTGAGAGGAATGTTTATTCTGCTGTTGTTGAATGCAGTGCTTTTCTCATTATTTTAATTGGTCAGAGTAGTTAATGGTGCTTTTCAGGTCATCTATATCCTTCCTGGTTTTCTGCTTACTTTTTCTCCTAAATACTGAGAAACAATTTAAACAGTTTTGACAAATGTGTAGTCCCATGAAATCACAACCACATAGAAGGTGCAAAATATATTCATACTCCCCAAAAGTTTCTTCCTGTCCTTTTGCTGTCAAACCATCCCTTCAGTAGAGGTGACCCAAGGTGAGCAGAAGTGAGCATCTGCCAACCATTAGCATTTTCCCTATTAACAGAGGCAGGCAGGCACAGAGAACAGCAGTTGCTTTCACACACAGGCAACATCCAGGAGGAAAACCAGATTGATAGTGTCATAGAAAGAGCGCTTGCTTGCCTGGACACAGGCTGTCACTCCCTTTGTTGCACACTGCCTGTCCCCAAGTCTGGCTCTGCCTTCCTGGACTCCCTGGCTCAGATGGGCGATTCACACCTCCTCTCCATCTCCCCCATCCCCTTACAGACAGTATTAAGGGCCTTGCCACTTTCTTTTGTTTTGTTGACTTGCTGTTTCCTCAGCATATATTCAATAAAAGTTTTCTGTAGGAATCAATAAGTGCATGAATGAATGAAATTACCAGGCATGGGAGTTCATTGATTCAAAACGTGGAGGCTGCCCCTGCCTTGGCCTCCCGCCTACCTGAAGAAACCCACAGTTCCATCACCTGTGCTCACTTGAGTTTAGAAATCCCCTGGAAACTATCATTGAGAGCATCACTGCAGATGCCTACTCCCCATGCCCAAACACTATCATGGAGGTGAGGATGCTCCCAACAGTATTGTGCATGATGCCTCCTGTATTGGACCCCACACGTCCCCATCAGTTTAACAAGGAAGGGTGCCATCTGCACTGCCTTGCCATCCAACCTGCTCACATACACACCTTGGACCAGCCCTCTACCCCAGACACTGTCTGGTGGCATCATAGGCCAGTGATTAGAGCCCCAGGATACCTGTCTGCTTTTGTCTCAAGAGCTCAGAAGCCTCAGAAGTCCATCTGAGACATGGTCACCACCTGGATCATTCTCATTGCACATCCACAGCCAATCCTTCATCTGCAGAGTCGCAGCTGACTAGTCCTAGGGTACTCTTCCTCCAAATTCCCCTCCATGCAGCCTTGCTGCCACCCTCACCTTCCACTGCTCATAAATATTTCTGGCCTGTCTTGGCTGTTGCTCAAAAGTCAGCAACCCATTCACATAGTCCAGGCTCCATGGAGAGTTCACAGGGGATAAAACAGCAGCCCCCAGCAGGCATGAGACAACTCCCTGCCCCGGGACGCTGGAAATGGTACACACGACCACTGGAGTGGTCAAGAGAGGGAGCTTGCCCGGAATGATGCAGGGAGCCAGCCATACTCTTCGTGAGAGAGGGAAGGGGATTCTGAGGGAGGGTTGCGTCTCCAGCACATCGCTGGTGCATTCCATCAACAGGCCTGCCCATTCAGATCACACGGCCCCCTCCAGCTAGTGATGATGGTGCTGGAATTTCCCAAGCCTATTCCTTTTCATTGTCCTGCCCTCACCCCTCTCTTCGCCCTTCTCTCCCTCAGGTCCCTGCCTCCACCGAGCTGAACTCTGGATTCAGACCTCTGAATGCCAGCCTGCCTGGGGAAATGTGGACTTGGTTTCATATACGGTCTCTCTCATGGACTCTGGCCATTGCTCTCCCCTTGTATTTGTTCATTTTCATACTGCTATGAAGAAATACCTGAGACTGGGTAATTTATAATAATAAAAAAAAGAGGTTTAATGGACTGACAGTTCTACATGGCTGGGAAGGCCTCACAATCATGGCAGAAGGGGAAGGAGGAGCAAAGATATGTCTCACATGGCAGCAGGCAAGAGAGCATGTGCAGGGGAACTGCCCTTTGTGAAAACATCAGATCTCCTAAGACTTATTTACTACGGCGAGAACAGCATGGGAAAAACTTATCCCTGTGATTCAATTACCTCCCACCTGATCCCTCCCATGACACGTGGAGGTTATGGGAGCTACAATTCAAGATGAGATTTGGGTGGGGAAACAATCAAACCATATCAGTGCTGGATCCTCCCGATTACCCTCATGGGCTGAGGGTGTCCTGTCTGCTCTCCTTCCCTGGCTCCTGTTCATTCTGACCAATTCCTTCTCAAAGCACAAGAGAAATGTCCTGTCCCCATTTCAGAATGTTAAACCATGCCTAGAGAAATGTTACTCAGGATGTCACTGTATAAATCCAACTTCATATGGGTGAGGGATTAAGTTAGTGTGTACTTAACCTAATTAGAGAAAGCAAAGACACAAAATAACAGTGAAACAATATTTCTTCACTAAATTTTATTCATAATTTTCACCAAAAATGAGAAGATTGATAACACAAAATCTTTCTGTGAGTGTAGGATATTCACATCTATTAATTTGTGAGAAAATTAATTGGTACAGTATTTTTGGAATAAAATTTTGACAATACTTCTAAAAAGTTAAACTATTCACACCATTTCCACTTTAACCCAATGTCCATGTTACTATATCTTTCTTATTGGAAAGCATGCATATCTGTCCAAAAACGTATGTTTATTTCAGTTCTATTAATCATAGCAACAAATGGGAATGAACGTATGTGTTTATCAGGAAAGGAAAGGTTTAATTAACTATGGCACACACCTACTTTAGAATTCTAGGGAATACTTACAAAAGTGATGTCGATTGTAGGTATAGTTGTGGGAAGACCTTGCGTTCATCTTATTACGTGGCAAAGGCATGTGACATATCAATACGTGCATCACTACCTGTGGGTGTTAAAACACTATATATTTTCATAAAACATCCATGTCTAAAAAAATCCTAGACTGAGCTTTAAAATGCTGCCCACGGATCTCATCCTCCACACTCTTCTTCATCAAATCACCACCAACTCTTACCCTTCTCCCTCCCTCTCAACTAAGGGAGCAACGTCACCAACCTCAGAAGTCAGGTCAATAGAGATTCTCTCCATCAGTTCACAGTCCCTCACTTCCTAAAACTCTTCCGTGTCTTTCCACCTCACCATCTCCCTCACGCCCCCCATAGACTGAGTTAAGGGCACTGCTGCTTTCTTGTGTTTTTTTGACTTGGTGTTTCCTCAGCATATATTGAATAAAAGTTTTCTGTAGGAATCAATAAGTGCATGAAATGAATGAAAGTACCAGGCATGGGAATTCTTTGGTTCAAATTATGGAGTCGGTCTGGCCTGGGCCTCCGACCTGCATGAAGAAACCCACAGTTCCTTCACCTGTGCTCACTTGAGCTCAGAAAAACCCGTGGAAACTACCAACGAGAGGGTCACTACAGATGCCTTATCCCCAGGCCCAAACACCGTCATGGAGGTGAGGATGCTCCCAACAGGATGGTGCATGATGTTTCCTTTATTGGACCCCACACATCCCCATCAGTTTAACAAGGAAGGCTGCCAACTCCAACGCCTTGCCATACAACCTGCTCATGTACACACCTTGGGCCAGCCCTGTACGCCAGACAGTGTCTGCTGGCAACATAGTCCAGCGATCACTGCCCTACGACACCAGTCCTCTTGTGTGCCAAGAGTTCAGAAGCCACAGAAGTCCATCTGAGACGCAGTCACCACCTGGTTCATTTTCAAGGCACGTCCACAGCCAATCCTTCATCTGCAGAGTCTGAGCTGACTAGTCCCAGGGCACTCTTCCTCCCATTTCTCCTCCATGCAGCCCCACTGCCCCTTTCAACTGCTCATGGGCATTCCTGGCCTGTTTTGGCAGTTGGTCATCAGTCAGCAACACACTCACATAGCCCAGCCTCTATGGAGGGCCCCCAGGGGATAAAACACCAGCCCCCAGCATGCATGAAGGCCTCTCCCAGATCTGGGATGCTGGCGAAGGTGCAAAGGACCACTGGAGGGTTCAAGAGAGGTAGCTGGCCCAGAATGATGCAGGGAGCCAGCCAAACTATTCCGGAGAGAGGGAAGGGGATTCTGAGGGCGGGAAGGTTGACCAGCACAGCCCTGGTGCATTCAGCCAACAGGCTTACCCACTCAGATCACAGGGCCTCCTCCAGCTGGTGATGATGGTGCCAGGATTTCCCAAGCCTATTCCTGTTCATTGTCCTGTCCTGCCCCCTCCCTTCCCCCTTCTCTCCCTCAGGCTCCTGACCCCACCGGCCTGAAGTCTGGATTTAGAGCTCGGAGTGCCAGCCTGCCTGGGTCTCAGTGGACTTGGTTTTGCATGTGCTCTCTGTCATTGACACTAGCAATGGCTCTCTCCTGGATCCTCCCTGGATCCTCCCTCACAGGCTGAGGGTCTCCTGTCTGCTCTCCTTCCCTGGTTCCTCTTCAGTCTCACCAAATCCTTCTCAAAGCAGAGAAGAAATATCCTGTCCACACTTCAGAATTTTAAATCAATTGTGATTTTTATGAGAATTTGAATTGGTACAGCACTTTTGTAATAACATTTTAGAAATATTTTAAATGTTAAACTATTTTCACCCTTTCACTTTAACCCAATGTCCATGTTAATATAGCCTTCTTATAAGAAAACCATGTTTGCCTAAAATTCATAGGCAGAGATGTTTATTTTATTCTATTTATCATATAGCAAATGGGAAACAACTTATATGTCCATTAGGAAGAAAGAGTTTAATTAATTTTGGTGCATGTCTACTTTAGAATTATAGAAAGTGGTTTCAAAAGTGAGAAAGATCTACCTGTCTCTATCTATCTATCTATCTATCTATCTATCTATCTATCTATCTATCATCTATACTGTTGTCGAAAGATCCTACATGCATTTTATAAAGTGATAAAAGCAGATCAGTATGTATGTCATTGTTCTTGTATATTGAATAAAAATAATATATTGTTATAGTTTGTCAGTGAAAAGCCTAGAGTCAGCAGTAAAATAATACACAACATTGTTAATTGTGGTGACCTCTGCGGGGGGGCGGGGGGTGTTGTTAACTGTGGAGGAGCTTTGTAAAAAAAAAATTGTGAATTATCTACATTTCTATCATTTTTGAAATAAGAATATATACCAAACTACATTTTAAATAAAAAATATTTAATACTGACAACAGAAATACTAGCCGTGTCAGTTTAAGTAATTGCTAGCTGATGCAACAGAACAACCATGAATGGCTTGACACAACAGAAGTTTATTTTATGTGCAAATAAGTTCTGATGCGGTTTGGCAGGGGCTCTCCACTCTCACATGACCCAGGGATCCAAGCTGCTTCCACCTTTTGATTCCGTCATCTCAAGATGAAGCTGCCATGTTTGCTGTTGAAAGCGGAGAGAAAGCATGGAAATGGCACACTGGCTCTCAAATGCCTGGATGTGACAAACAATGCTTCTGCTCCTGTATTGGTGTAAAGGAAAAGTCACATGATCCTAACTGCAAGGACTTTACTGTTCCCATGTGTCCAGGAAGGAGACAGAGACAAAATGTGGGTGAGTACTATACCCTTCCCCATAAACTGTTACATAGTGGGTGCTCAACAAAAAGCAACTATGATCATTTGGTATTATACTACCCTTCTCATTTCTAGGAGGAGTTTCTGAGAAGGCCAAATTTACCTTGAAGTTCTCCAGCGTTTTCCAGTGTCAAATATGTGACTGATGTTTTCAAACATACGATCACAACTAACTGTTCAAGAATCTTGAAAGTCTCAGCAGGAAGGCTTTCCTTTGTAATATCCTTTAAATCCTTAGTAGGCTGAGAATTGTTCCTCCATTTGATTCCCGGTCAAAATGTTAACCTGTGAATTTCTGCTACCCTCCACACGCCTGTACACCTGTCGAGGTAGGCACGCTGAAGGCCAGTATTTTCCTGTGGAGCAGGTAAACAGACAAGAAACAGAAGGCTGCTTAATTATTCCTCTTTCATTAGAGTTGACGTGTTTTCAAGGTATAGTTTTTAAACTCCTGGAGGACTCCAGAAATTTAGGAATTCAGCCTCAGTAAGTAGATGTTTGTTCCACTGGGGTTTCCCAAGGTTTTTCTCATCTAATACTCATGAGAGACGGTTTGCTCTTTGATCATTTATCTGTGCATGTATTCAGAGGCGAATTCCAAAAGGACGCCCTGTGAAAGTCCGATTTCAAGTATCAAGGTGGTTCCAAATCCCTCTAACTTCAGGGTGACATCACACAAGAACCCTTAGATAATATGGCGAATCAGACTCCTCAGCCCATTCAGAAAACGATTAGAGAGTGTGTTGAAGACAACCAGAGTGGTAACCAAGTGTCTAAGCGTCACTGTCCCCGTGTGAGTTTTTATACAAAAGGGTTTTTGACATCATATGGCTTCCTGGGTGAGAGACGGAACAGCCAGAGGACTTCTACTATGAGAAGGAATGCTCCCTGTCAGGAGGTGAGCAGGGGATTCTGGGCTGTTCTGTGAGGATCAGTGAGGAGCTGATCAGCAGGCCCTATAGGTTCCAGAGTCAGACAGGACACATGGAAGTGACCCGGGGAAATGTGCTGTAATTCTGAAAGTGCTGGGGCTGCAGAGAAATGCCCACAACTGGGCAGAGTTAGCTCTCAAGGAACCTAGCGCACACCAGCCCCAAATGGTGTTTGATTCTCACTGTCGCGTTCTCCAGGCCTGCTTCATTATGCTGGCCTCAAGGTCCTTCTTTTTGTCACCTGAGAGACATGGTGCAGTGCTGAGAAGAAAAATGAAGTCGCTGTCAGGAGGTCAGCCTCGGGCTCGGAGAAGTGGGGACAGCATGGGCTCTAAAGGAATTCATGCCAGGGGTCTGGTTCCAGCCCTGTTCCTTACTAGCCACGTGATACTGAGAAATACCCAGGAAATACCCTGTTCTTATATCCCAATTCACAAGCTCTGTAAGCCCTGGATTCTTCATCTGTAAGCAGATGTGATAAGGCCTGTCTAGTAGGACAGTCGGAGTGTATGCAACGCAGGTGAACCACCTGGCTCCGGGCCTGGTGTAAATTGGAAGTTTCACAAATGGCGGATGGCTGTTATTTCCAATATGCTTTAACCCGAGGCCCGAACACTGGGATTTTGTTGTTGTTGTCGTTGTTCTCCAGGACTTATCAGAGAACATACAGCTCAATAGGACATGGAATAATTAGCCCCAAACAGAAGCTTCTTCCATAAAATTCAGTTAAGTATTTCCTCTTAGAGAATGCACTTCAAAATTTGGTTGTGCGGGAGTTTTGCCCAGCCAGGTGCAGCTCAAAGCTCCTAGAATGTGAGTCAAAGACCAACTCCTTCCCTCTCTCCCAGCTGCTTTCCCATCCAAACCACTATATTCATCCACTTTGTTACCATCCAGAATCTAGCCCGTGCTTACAATTGGTCAAATTGCACTTGAGATAACCTAGTTAGAATGCCTTTTTAATGGAGTCAGCTCTGGCTCTCCCTGCCTGGCAGAAAAGCACCTGGCCGGCCGGGCGCGGTGGCTCACGCCTGTAATCCCAGCACTTTGGGAGGCCGAGGCGGGCGGATCACGAGGTCAGGAGATCGAGACCATCCCTGCTAAAACGGTGAAACCCCGTCTCTACTAAAAATACAAAAAAAATTAGCCGGGCGTAGTGGCGGGCGCCTGTAGTCCCAGCTACTTGGGAGGCTGAGGCAGGAGAATGGCGTGAACCCGGGAGGCGGAGCTTGCAGTGAGCCGAGATCCCGCCACTGCACTCCAGCCTGGGCGACAGAGCGAGACTCCGTCTCAAAAAAAAAAAAAAAAAAAAAAAAAAAAAAAAAAAAAAAGAAAAGCACCTGGCCAGTGGCTTCTGGGTCACCCTTCCTGGGAAATTCAGCCTTATCGCTCAGGAAACCCTTGCAGATGATGGGTGTCCATCACCTAGATCTTGGGCTGTGTTCAACAGCATTGGGCAAAAACACAGGACACCTTCCATTCCAGCCCCAGGTGGAGATTCCTCTCTCTTCATCCCCATCCTAAAGAAACTGCTCAGGGTAGCATTCCATTCCAGGCTTTTCTCTCACCCTCTGAGAATCTGGCCCTGGACCCACCGGGCATCATTAGAATCAGCTCCTTCAGAAGGAACTGCAGGTTCCCAGATCCCAAATTGCCCCAGCTCAGGGCATTTATACTCACCACTCTCACCTGGAACCCCACACCCTCACCCCTGTCTTACATTTCCACTACATCCTAGAGGACTTCTCGCCACCTTAATTACATGACTGCAGCTCCTAGACTCTATGACCCTATGGGTAGACGTGAGTCTGGCTTACCTTAGAATCCCCACTACTACCAGGGCCTTCCACAGAGCAGATGCTGAGTGAATGGTAAAGAAATGAGCCAGTGAACAGGAAGAATTATTTATTCAGATTTAATTTCTTTTGCATTCTCAAAGAAGCAAAAACATACACATATTTTTAATTTTACATAATAGACTGAGGTATAAGGCAAGAATTAACTATCTTTTGAGTTCCTTGTATCATGTATTTTACTGCTAATTCGTTCACAATATAGGCAAATACATATTCCACTGCTGTTATTATGTGACAACTCACAAAATGGAATGGATTTCCCAATCTGAATAAAAAACAGGACTCTTACCCCTAAACTATATAAACAGCACTATGTGTGACTACTGTCATTCATAAACTTGGATGCTGAAGTTCATCCAACCATTTGTTAAAAGGAACATTTGAACAATTCCAACAGGAAACAAAGATAAATCTCAAAGTCATCCAACAGAACAGAAACTCACTGCTAAGAATGCTGACTGCTCTCTTCAAAGAGGCAGGAATGGGCCTCATATCACACGAGGCAGTGGAAGCTAATGGATGGGGCCCTGGAAGGTGCACTGGCCCAGACCCCCTCCCACTGGCCCTGGCTGCAACATGTGCTGAGACTCACTCTTCTCCCTCTCTCAAAGCCCGTTCATGCAGGGGTGGGTAGGAAATGTGAGGTTCTCCACCGATCTTTAGTGTATGGTGCAGGACTTTCACATAGCTGGTTTCAATGAGGGCCCTTGGACCCCACAGGAACTCGTAGCATGCAGGATCACTGCCGGGCACCTGCCGGTACTCCAGGTAGTTTTCCTGCACCAGATCTTGCATGAGCAGCTTCCTGGGATGTGCGAAGACACTGTCCTCCCTCCCCTCAAACACCTCCAACATACTCAGCTCCTCCCAGATTTTCTCCTCAGGGGCACAGTCGCCCTCTATTGCGATTATGGCCAGGACGATTATCAGGAGGCCTGTCTTGGGCATGACCTGATTGTCGCCCAGCAGGCCATCGTAGGAGAGGCCCAGGCAGGTGACAAGGATGTACAAGTGGCTGATGGGGACCACTTCCACCACCTCGATGCCAAAGACCAGCTGCAAGTACTCGGAGGCTTTGCTGAAGATCACGGGAAAGAAGTCCTGGCAATTTCTGAGGACACTCTCCAGCATTTCTGCCTTTGTGACCGGCTCCCTGGCTCGATACTTGAGGAGCAGAAAATGAACCAACTCAACCATCTTCCTACTGATTGCTGCTTGGAACTCGGACTCCAGGTCGGGAAACATTCTTGGCCCCTCCTCTTCTTGGTTGCTGGAGCCCTCATCGGATTGTCTCCAAAGAGTGTAGTTGATGGTAGTCGAGAAGCTGGAGGCTCCCTGAGGACTGTGGGGAGGACTCGGTGAGTCGGCAGCAGGCACCTCCCCCAGGGTAACTTCCACTAGAGTAGAAGAGGAAGAAGCGGTCTGCTGCTCCTCAGTAGCAGGAGCCTGCGCACCCACCAGGCCCAGGGCCTCTCCTCGGGCCTCAAGGCCTTCTTCAGGCTTGCAGTGCTGACTCCTCTGCTCAAGAGGCATGATGACTCTGGTCAGGGCAGCAGGCAGGAGTGCGGGCAGGAGCTGGGCAATGAAGACCCACAGGCCTGGGGAGAGAAGGAGCGTGTGTGAGGCCTTAGGTGAGAACTGAACTGAACCTTGGAGGCTCTGACAAAGGCTTACTTACAGATCTTCTCCTTCAATGCTCCTCCAGTGCCTCGGGTCCTACTTGTCAGCCTGTCCCCCTCAGAACCTGAAGGAGGAAGTGGGAGGGCACCTCAGGGTACAGCCGGCCAGCACATGCTCAGGCTGCAGGACTGAGAATAGGGAGGGTGAGGCCAGGCCCTCTGGAGTCCCATTTGTTCTGGGCGGGTGGGGCCCTTGGTGTGCATTCCAGGCAAACCTTCAGTGTTGGCACTGTCTGCGTCCCCTCTGCTCTGTGACCTGAGGACACTGACTCAGACCAAGGCCTCACTGCCTGGTTCCTGGAGCTCCTGATTCCTGGGAGAGGAATGCACGGGCCTTCAGTGTGCAGACTGCAAGCACAGCCACGGATTCCCAGAAGTCTCAGCAGGGTTGGCCAGACTCCGTGAGGTCCCCACTCTACTTGGGTGGAGGGTCCCCTCTGTGCTCACTCAGGGCCCTCACCTTTCTCCTTGTAGGGCCTAATCCCACCCTTTTGCTGGCTTGAGAATCTCTCATGTCAAGAACTCACATCCCTGATATGGTACAGAAGGAGATGAGGGGACCCACATCTGGCCATACGTGACCAGGTCCTCCCGCGAAGGACAACGAGAGATGTCCAAATTCATTGGAGTCCAGGTGTCCTGGGTGACGAGTCCGCTTGGTCCTCACGTCCACTCCTGGCAGGGCCTGAGACCCTCCCTCTACTGACCTGACTCCAGCCCCTTCAGACCAAGGCCTCCCCTTCCCTGACATCAAAGATCCCAGGATAATGGAGGGACTTCAGCTGACAGCCCTGCCCAGGGTCTCTGAAGTAACCGCAGGGGCAGGGCAGATTTCTATGGGGCCCCCTGTCTGCATTCTGGCCCAGGGGTACCCTCAATCCTACCTCAGGCTCTCCACCTGGATGCTTGGCAGATCCTAGAACCACTGCATCTGTCGACCAGATGGGGGCCCCTGTGTTGACCTGAGTCACCTTCTGAAAACAAGGTCATCAACTCCCTGAGATCTGGAAACAGAAGTGAGGAGGGGCCACATCCTGTTACCCCCACGTGCGTTGTCCAGGGCTGACCCCTTTGGTTCTAGGGTGAACGTTATGATGGCCTCCTGTGGGTTACTCATCTTTACTCCTGCCAGGGACTGCCCTTTCTCAACCCCCAACCCCCTGAAATGAGCAGACAGCTCCTCTTTACACCAACACCTTATCTCCCTGAGGGTTCCCCAACCTCCTGCCTGTGGTACAAATGAGATTGTCACTTAGGGCCATCCCTGATCAGGTTCCCCCAGAGCTAAGAACAAGGGACGGCCAGACTCTGTGGCATCCCTTCTTTCTGGGCCGGGGGTATCCCCAGTCCTCATGAAGGGGGCACACCTTGGGTCCGGCAGATCCTGGGATTCCTCCCTCTGCTGACCTGAAGTCCCAGCCCTCAGACCACAGCCCTCAACTCTCTGTCACCCTGAAGGTGCAATGAGCACGGGGCACATTCGGCCACTGTGCCCAGGATCCCCCAGCCCAAGGTTGCCACTGATCTGGACTCCAAGGTCCCCTCAGTCCTCCCTCTTCTTCCTCCCCTTGACTCCTCGCAGGGCTGGGCCCCAACCCCCTGCTGAAGTGGGTCTGCATCCCTAGGATTCCCGCGGCTGAATGAAAAGGTGGCTCAGTTTGAGACAGGGGTACAGTGGGCCCCCTGTCCTGGCATGCTGGGTCCCCTAAGGACTCCACTGTCTTCCAGGAGGGCCTGGGCCCTTCCTCTGCATCCCAAAGGCCATACTCACGAGACCCAACCCCTTCCCTCCCTTAGCCGTACATGTGAACGTCAGGATCCGCGTGCTTGGCCGCCATTCCCGGAGCTTCCGTGGGTTGATTGCAGGGGCAAAGCCCGGATTCTGCCAGGATGGTGGTGGGGGAGGAGATGGGAATGGGGTTTGGGGGTGGGGTTGGTGTTTGAGGGATGGGGGTGGGGTTGGTGTTGGGGGATGGGATTGGTAGTGAGGGTAGGGGGTGGGTTGCCCTCAGTCCCCTCTTGGGGTCCTGACCTTGATTCCTGGCTGAGTCTGGGCCCTGAGCACTTCTAACCAGCCCTGCCCTGGTCACACAAAGCTCTTACGCCAGAGTTCCCTGCGGTTAAAGCGGCGGGGGGTGGCGGGGTGAGGTGGTGGCGACTGAGCCTGAGAAGTCTTCCCCTGCAGGGTGGTCCAGGCCCGGCAGCAGAGGCAGCGCTGGATTATTGGGGGCCCTCTGTCTGGGGTGAGGCCCGCCTCAGTCCTCCCTCGGCGTCTTACCTTGCCTCCTCACGGAGCCTGCGCCTGCTTCCCTCCGCCGACGTCAGGCCGTTGCTCAGGGCGAGAATCTCGCTGTCCTCTGACCTCCAATGCGCAAGTCAGTGGCGTCACATCCGGGCCCGTGACTTCCCTGGGTTCACGGCAAGGGTGGAACCGGATTCTGCCCGGATGGGGATCTGGATGGGGGGGTGGGGGTAAGCATGAAGATGGTGTTGGTGTAGGGGTAGGGATTGGGACGGGGATCCTGAGGCTGTAGATCCTGGTGGGGTCGGGGGAGTTGGGGGTGGGAGGGGCCTTTGGTCATCCCTCAAGGTCCTGACTTGGATGCCAGACTGAGCCTGGACCGCCATCCTCTGCCGATTGTGTCTGCTCCCCTCAGACCAAGTCTCTGACTCTGAGTCGGCCCGAAGTGGCATTGGGGGGAGGGGTGTGCTCGGGGTGAGATCATTGCCAGTGTGTACCAGGGCTGACAAGAGGGGCTGAGCTGGATTCTGTGGTCCCACTATGTGGGTGAGGGTGGATCCTCAGTCCTCACTCAGGAGGGTCCTCTTCCTCACTCCTGGCTGTTTGATGAAGGAATGGGTGGGAGATGCTCTGTTTCTGTCACCTCTGAGCATCTGCGCATCTGCGCATCTGCACCCCTTGTAGAGAATGGCTGCGGGTGCCAGGCCAGGTGCTCCCTGCAGGGCAGGAGCTCCCGCGATGATAGTGACCTCTGGGAGAAGACGCACACCTTCCCACGGGGGCTCCTCCCCAGCCAGAGCTACACTTGGCAAACCTTTGGTCCTAAATGATTTATTCTCTGAATTGAAGAAATACGGTTTACATATCTTCTAAGTATATATGTAGGTAGCAATATATATATTTATTTCTATGAACTAACACCTACCCTTAGTATGCATGATTCACTCTGATATCCTAGTCTACTTCCATTCCAGTCTTTGTGTTCTGTTGAAAGAATTTTTTTAAAAAACATAATTCCTCTCCCACTCTGTTGGTTTCAGGTTGTTATTAGCAGAACTCTGGAGCCATGCTGCCTTAACAAACCCAATTTTCCTGGTGGACACTGCTATTACCTAGGGCTCTTGGCATCGTGTTTTCAGGGGCTGCCTCAGATTGTGCAATGAAGTGAAGTGGAAAATTCAAAACTTTTATTCTACCCATTCTTTCATCTGCCGTCTAGGCAGGCTACAAACCTCCCCAACATCTCTGCCGCTAACCCCCTCCAACAGACACTGCAAGTGTCACACACAAGTACCAGCTCAACACAGTCTCCAGTCTCACTCTGGGCTTTCCCTGTTTTGTTGTGTAGATTTTCTTGCTGATACTGGTGTTTTACTTTCTGTTTCCATTCTATAAATTTACAGGGTTGATTTGGGAAGCAGAGCACAGCAGCCCAAATTTGCTTGTAATGTCGGCGGCTACAGGTAAGGCACTAAATTGTAAATAATTTAAGCTGAGTTTACATTTTTACACTGTTGTGTTCCCCGTGAATGAATATGTTATACTCCTCTATGGATTTCAAGCTCTTTTTTCCTGAATATGTCAGTATACTTCGGTAGTTGCCTCTATAAACAACTTATACATTTTTATTAGGCTTCTATTCAGGTAATTCTTGGATTTTGTTGCTATTGCAAGTGGCATATTGTCTATCAATTGTTGTAGTTAGTTATTGCTTTCGTGAGGTGAAGATTTTGATTTTGCTGTAGTAATCTGTTGCACACCTCGTTCTGAAGGCCGATGCACTTGAATATTCCGCATACCTTTTCCTTTGAATTTTCAAGATCGATAATGGTATTATCACTAAACACTACATGTTTTTCCAATGTTCATACCACTCACTCATTTCGGTACTTACAGCTCTTTGTGTCTCAATCCTGATTTCAAATGTAGAGATAATAGGCTACATCTACTTCTCGTTCCTGACTTGAATGATAATTCTTCGAACATTTGACATTTAAGTATGTTTGCTGTTGATTTTAGGAAATGGAAGTTCTCTTTCAGTATAGGTTGCCTAAATATTTTCTTTTTTACCATGAATTCATATTAAATTTATTTAAAAAGCTTTTTCTGTACCCGTTGGCAGGATCAAATTTTTTTCTCTTCCATTTTGTATGTAAGGAATCACAATGAAACAGATGTTTTTTCTAATGTTAAATCATATTTTATTTCCTTGGGCAGAGCCTGTTTATTCGTTTAATGTACTACTAATTTATGTAGGATATTTACTGCTGTGTAAGAGAGCTTACTTGATGTGTTCTTTTTCCATCAGGGGAGGTATGTGGTCCTCATCTGGTTTTTAAATCCAGGAGGGCTAGCCTGGGAGAATGAACTGAACAATTGTCAGTCTTTTGTATGTTCTGGAAGAGTTGATATAAGGCGGTGGTTAGTTTTCCCTGATCATTTGGTAAAATTGGCCTCCAAAGCTGTCTAACCTGGAATGTTTGAGGGTGGCTTGAGCTTTGAATATTGTACAGTTTCTGTTGTATAGTTAAAGTTTTCTTTTCCTCTTTGGATCAGTTTGGTTACTGATTTATTTTATTTCTACAAAGTGGTCAGTTTCATTTAGGATTTCACTTTTAATGGCATATTTATGATAAAAAAGTTTTATTAGGGAAAGCCTTCACACATACAGAATAACAGGAACGAATATAATGAACCCAGGATACTTGATACCGAGCATGAACATCTTTAAATACACAGCAAATCTGGTTCCAGTTAAACACTCGCCTACCTGCATATGAGCTGCTGGAATAACGTGGAGTAAATCTAAGGCATTAGACCATTTCATCTCTAAATAACTTAATATGCATTTTTAAAAGATAAGGATTTTTTTAAAACAAAAAGCCGATAGTTTTCATATCTAAAAAATTAAATAAATGATTATCAAATGTTCAACTATGTTACACACTTATCTGGCCAACTTAAACTTTATAAAATATATATTTCTTTGATGGAGTACAAAATGTGTTAACTTTTCCCCCCACTTGCTTCATTGTGGTGGTTTCATATATCTATTATACAACTAGGTGTGTGTGTGTGTGTGTGTGTGTGTGGAACATTCTACCTGCCGTCCCGTGATTCTCCAACCTCTTAAGTTACTTTTAAACTTTACATACATTAAGCTTCACTCTTTGTGCTGTAAAGATCTATGGGTTTTGACAAATGCCTCGTGCCATTGTCTTAGTCCGTTTGGGCTTCCATAACAAAAATAGTGATAGACTGGGTGGCTTATAGACAACGCAACTTTATTTCTCACATTCTGGAGGTTGGGAAGTCCAAGATCAAGGTGCTGGCAGATTTCATGTCTGGTGGAGTCCTGCTCCCTAGTTCATAGACAGCTGCCTTTTCCCTAGATCCTCACATGCAAGAAGGGATAAGGGATCTCCGTGGAGTCTGTTTTATAAAAACACTAATCCCATTCATGAGGACTCTGCTCTCATGATCTAGTCATTCTCCAAATACCCCACCTTCTGCCTAATACCATCACCTTGGTAATTCAGCAGATGAATTTTGTGGCAACACAAATATTCAGACCAAAGCAAGCACGGAACCACCATTGCAGTATTATGCATACCAGTTTCACTGCCCTGATAAATTCCCTTGTGCTTGTCGGATAAACCCCATGGCCACCACTGATAGGTTTTTCATCTTTATAATTTTGCATTTTCCAGAATGTCATATAAATAGAATCTTATACTATGTAGCCTTTTTAGACTGGTTTCTTTCACTTAGCATAATGAACTGAAGAGTCATGTATAACTTTGTGTGGCTTGGAACTTATTCCTTTTCATTGAGGAGTAGTATCAATGTCTGGTTATATATATATATATATATATATATATATATATATATATATCCATTCACCAAATGAAATACATTTTGGATGCTTCTATTTTTGGTGATTATGAAATAAGCTATTGTATACATTCATATACAAATTTTTATGTAGACATAAGTTTTCAAATCAATTGGGTAAATTGATTGAGTATGGCTGCTGAATCTTGTGCTAAGTCTATTTTCATTTTTTTAAGAAAACGCCAAACTGCCTTCCAAAGTGGCTGTGCCATTTTGCATTTCTACCAGCAATGAAGGAGAGTTTCCGTTGCTCCACATCTTCGCTGGCAATTGTTCTTGGTCTTGTATTCTTTGTTTTGGTTTTCTATGGATTTTGGACATTCTGATAGGTGTGCAGTGGTATCCCATTTTAGTACACAATTATCTAATGCCAAAGGGTGCTCAGTACTTTTATTATGCTTATTTGCCATGTGTATATCTTCTTTTGTGTAGTGTGTGTTCAGATCTTTGACTATTTTCATTTTTTCTATCATTGAGCTTTAAGAATTCGCATATATTGTAGAGACAAGTTCTTTATCACATATGTGTACCGCAGATGTTTTCTGCTAGTCTGTGGCTTCTGTTTTCATTCTCTTAACATTGTCCTTTGAAGAGCATAAGATTTTTATTTTAATAAAATCAACTTGGCAAATTTTTCTTTCCTTGATCATGCTTTTGGTGTTGAATTTAAAAACTCATCACCAAACTCAAAGTTATGTGGATTTTCTCTTATGTTTTCTTATAGAGGTTGTATTGTTTTTGCATTTTTCATTAGACCTATGATGTATCTTGAGTTAGTTTTCATGGAATATGTAAGGATATGTCCAGGTTATTATAATTTGTGTATAGGTGTCTAATTGTTCCGACACCTTTTGTTGGAAAACCTGTACTTTCACCATTATTGCCTTTGTTGTGAATCACCTGACTATATGCGTGCAGGTCTATTTCTGAGCTCTATTCTGTTTTATTAATCTGTGTGTCTATTCTTTGCTAATGCTTATGTCCTCCACCAAATTCATATTTTGAAGCCCTCAGCCCCAGGGTGTCTGTATTTGGAGATGAGGCTTCTAGGGAAGTGATTAATGTTAAAAGAGGCCATAAGGGTGGGACCTTGATCCCATAGAATTAGTTTGGTTATAAGAAGGGAGAAGAGACAGAAGAAAGTACTTTTGTGCCTACATGACCTTTCTCTCTCTCTCTCTCTCTCTCTCTCTTTCTCTCTCTCTCTCTCTCTCTCTCTCTCTCTCTCTCTCTCTCTCTCTGCACATGCACAGAGGAAAGGCCAAGAATGGACAGATTAATAAAGGGCCATCTACAAGCCACGAATAAGGCCATCACCAGAAGCCAACCCCGCCAGTCCTTGATCTAGGACTTCCAGACTTCAAAACTGTGAGAAAAAAAATAAATTTCTGTTGTTTTAGCTACTCACTCAATGGCATTTTGTTATGGCAGCCTGAGCTGACTTAAGACATAACTTCAGGTGACACAATTTTTTTTTTGTTTCCTCCTAGAAAAAAAAAAAGTAATTTTGACATTTAAAGTCTGTAGTTCATTTTGAGTTACATTTCTGTATGGTGCAAGATATGTGCAATGGCTAGTACTATGTGTCAACTTGTCTAGGCTATACTGCTCAGCTGTGTGGTCAAACAGTAGTCTAGATGTTGCTGTGAAGGTATTTTGTAGATGTGATCAACATTTACAATCAGTTGATTTTAAGTAAAGCAGTTTAACTTCCATAATGTG
Organism: Homo sapiens; assembly: GCF_000001405.40. NCBI lineage: Eukaryota > Metazoa > Chordata > Mammalia > Primates > Hominidae > Homo > Homo sapiens. The sequence continues at coordinate 374,538 of NW_025791818.1, forward strand.
GATGGGCCTCATCCAATTAGTTGAAGGTGTTAAGAGAAAAGACCAAGGTTTCCTGGAAAAGGAATTCTACCACAAGACTAACATAAAAATGCGCTGTGAGTTTCTAGCCTGCTGGCCTGCCTTCACTGTCCTGGGGGAGGCTTGGAGAGACCAGGTGGACTGGAGTAGACTGTTGAGAGACGCTGGTCTGGTGAAGATGTCCAGGAAACCACGAGCCTCCAGCCCATTGTCCAACAACCACCCACCAACACCAAAGAGGCGAGGAAGTGGAAGGCATCCTCTCAACCCTGGCCCAGAAGCCCTATCAAAGTGAACGGCCCACCCAAGCTCTGACTCCTACCCTGTCCTCCCCTGGCACAACCCCCACCCCAGCCTGCACCATTTCTCTATGAAGCCCCTGTTCTCACCCCTCCTCCATCCTCTTCCCCAAACCAGTGCCCTTCTTTGATCTCCCTGTTTCCTTCCAGGTTCCCAAGACAACCCGGAAGGGAAAAGGGACCCATCAAGGAAGTTCCAGGAACAAAAGGCTCTCCCTAAAAGACCGCCGCTTCAAAAAAACCTGAGGAATGGAGTGGGCCAACACTATCCAGCCACTCTGACCAGCCGAACGAGGAACTCAATCAAAATGAGCCATAGCGGGACCACAAGGGCAAGGAGACCACCACCTTCTCCAGTCTCTCTTCGGACAGCCAGTAATTCCCGGGCAAGGCCAGAGACTTCAAGTCTATCTGAAAAGTCTCCAGAGGTCTAACCCCAGATAAATAGCCAACAGGGTGTAGAGTACATTTTACACCCCAAAGAGTGTGCCCCATGGTGATGAAAATAAAGTGAACATGTTGCAAAATGATGTGTGTGTCTGTGTGTCTCAAATGGTAGGGGTAGGGAGTAAGGGGAAAGAGGTGGGAGTGTGGGAAGGGAGGGGGGCATCCTCTACAATTTCTCTAATTCAACTTGCTCTTCGTTCTTTGGTTTCCTAGGGTGAAACTTTTGGTTATTGATTTTAGATTTCATTTTCTAATATAAACATTTAAAATATGCTATATATTTCCCTCAAGGACACACTTTAGCAGAATCCCACTTTTTGTATGTACATTTTTACTTTCATTCAACTTAATGTATTTTTAAAATTCTCCTGGGACTCCCTCTTTGACCCATAGGTTATATAGGAGCTTATTTTAAAATTTCCAATATTTGGGCATTTTTCAGATATCTTGGTGTTTGGTTTTGAGTTTAATTATATTATGGCCTAAGAAGAGGCTATCTATTATTTCTATTCTTTTCAATTTGTAAGCTTTGTTTGATGGCCCAGAATACCATCTATCTTGGGAGATATTTCATGCACACTTGAGAGGATTGTTTATTCTGCTATTGTTGAATGCGGTGCTTTTCTTATTGTTTTATTTAGTCAGAGTAGTTAATGGTGCTTTTCAGGTCATCTATATCCTTCCTGGTTTTCTGCTTACTTTTTCTCCTAAGTACTGAGAAACAAATCAAAGAGTTTTGAGAAATGTTTAGTCCCATGAAACCACAACCACAGTGAAGGTGAAAAATATATTCATCCTCCCCAAAAGTTTCTTCCTGTCTTCTTGTTGTCAAACCATCCCTTCAGTAGAAGTGATCCAAGGTGAGCAGAAGTGAGCATCCGCTGACCATGACCATTTTCCCTACTAACAGAGGCAGGTAGGCACAGAGAGCAGCAGTTGCTTTCACACACAGGCAGCATCCAGGAAGAAAACCAGATCGATAGTGTAATAGAAGGAGAGCTTTCTGGCCCGGACACAGGCTGTCGCTCCTTTTCTTGCACACTGCCAGTCCCCAAGTCTGGCTCTGCCTTCCTGGCTTCCCTGGCTCAGATGGGCGATTCACACCACCTCTTCATCTCCCCCGACTCCCTACAGACTGAATTAAGGGCCTTGCCACTTTCTATTGTTTTGTTGACTTGGTGTTTCCTCAGCATATATTGAATAAAAGTTTTCTGTAGGAATCAATACGTGCATGGAATGAATGAAATCACCTGGCATGGGAATTCTTTGATTCAAATTATGGAGTCTGCCCTTCCTGGGCCTCCTGCCTACATGAAGAAACCCACAGTTCCTTCACCTGTGCTCAGTTGAGTTCAGAAACCCTGTGGAAACTACCACGGAGAGGGTCACTGCAGACGCCTTCTCCCCAGGCCCAAACACTGTCATGGAGGTGAGGATGCTCCCAACAGGATGCTTCCTGTATTGGACCCCACACGTCCCCATCAGTTTAACAAGGAAAGCTGCCACCTGCAATGCCTTGCCATACAACCTGCTCACGTACACACCTTGGTCCAGCCCCCTACCCCAGACACTGTCATCTGGCAACATACGCCAGCGGTCACTGCCCTAGGACTCCTGTCCCGTTCTGTGCCAAGGGTTCAGAAGCCACAGAAGGCTATCTGAGACACAGTGGCCAACTGGAACATTTTCAAGGCACGTCCACAGCCAATCCTTCATCTGCAGAGTCTGAGCTGACTAGTCCCAGGGCACTCCTCCTCCCATTTCTCCTCCATGCAGCCCCACTGCCCCTTTCAACTGCTCATGGGCATTCCTGGCCTGTCTCGGCAGTTGGTCATCAGTCAGCAACCCACTCACATAGCCCAGCCTCTATAGAAGGTCCCCGGGGGATAAAACACCAGCCCCCAGCAGGCATGAAGACAGTTCCCACATCTGGGACGCTGGTGAAGGTACAAAGGACCACTGGAGTGTTCAAGAGAGGTAGCTGGCCCAGAATGACGCAGGGAGTCAGCCAAGCTCTTCCTGAGAGAGGGAAGGGGATTCTGAGGGCGGGAAGGTTGACCAGCACAGCCCTGGTGCATTCAGCCAACACTCAGATCACAGGGCCCCCTCCAGCTGGTGATGATGTTGCCGGGATTTCCCAACTCTATTCCTATTCATTGTCCTGTCCTCCCTCCTCCCTTCCCCCTTCTCTCCCTCAGGCCCCTGACCCCACCGGCCTGAAGTCTGGATTTAGAGCTCGGAGTGACAGCCTGCCTGGGGCTCTGTGGACTTGGTTTCGCATGTGGTCTCTCTCATGGACGCTAGCAACGGCTCTCCCCAGGATCCTCCCTGGATCCTCCCTCACGGGCTGAGGGTCTCCTGTCTGCTCTCATTACCTGGCTCCTCTTCAGTCTCACCAAATCCTTCTCAAAGCAGAGAAGAAATGTCCTGTCCACATTTCAGAATTTTAAATCAATTGTGATTTTTATGAGAATTTGAATTGGTACAGCACTTTTGTAATAACATTTTAGAAATATTTTAAATGTTAAACTATTTTCACCCTTTCACTTTAACCCAGTGTCCATGTTAATATATCCTTCTTATAAGAAAACCATGTTTGCCTAAAAATTCATATTCAGAGATGTTGATTTTATTGTAGTTATCATACAGCAAATGGGAAACAACTTATATGTCCACTAGGAAGAAAGAGTTTAATTAATTGTGGTGCATGTCTACTTTAGAATTATAGAAAGTGGTTTCAAAAGTGAGAAAGATCTATCTATCTATCTATCTATCTACCGTTGTGGAAAGATCCTACATCCATTTTATAAAGTGATAAAAGAATATCAGTATGTATATCATTGTTCTTGTATATTAAATAAAAACAACATATTGTTATAGTTTATCTGTCAGTGAGAAGCCTAGAGTCAGCAGTAAAATAATATACAACACCGTTAATTGTGGTGACCTCTGAGGGGGCGGTGGGGGTGGTGGGCGTTGTTAAATGTGGAGGAGATTTGTAAAGGGGAAAATTGTGAATTATCTACATTTCTATAAGTTTTGCAATAAGAATATGTACAATACTACATTTTAAATAAAAAAAAATTAAACCTGACAAACAGAAATACTAGCCATGTCAGTTTAAGTAACTGCTAGCCATTGCAACAGAACAACCACGAATGGCTTGCCACAACACAAGTTTATTTTATGTGCAAATAAGTTCTGATGCAGTTTGCCAGGGGCTCTCCACTCTCACGGGACCCAGGAATCCAAGCTGCTTCCACCTTGTGATTCCGTCATCTCAAGATGAAGCTGCCATGTTTGCTAGTGAAAGCGGAGAGAAAGCTTGGAAATGGCACACTGGCTCCCACATGCCTGGATGTGACAAACAATGCTTCTGCTCCTATATTGGTATAAAGGAAATGTCACATGACCCATCCTAACTGCAAGGACTTTACTGTTCCCATGTGTCCAGGAAGGAGACAGAGACAAAATGTGTGTGAGTACTATACCCTCCCCCATAAACTGTTACATAGTAGGTGCTCAACAAAAACAACTGTGATTCTTTGGTATTACACTACCCTTCTCATTTCTAGGAGGAGTTTCTGAGAAGGCCAAATTTGCCGTGACATTCTCCAACTTTTTCCAGTGTCAAATATGTAACTGATGTTTTCAAATATACGATCACAACTAACTGCCCAAGAATCTTGAAAGTCTCGGCGAGAAGGCTTCCCTTTGCAATACCCTTTAATCCTTAGTAGGCTGAGCATTTTTCCTCCATTTGATTCCCGGTCAAAATGTTAACCTGTGAATTTCTGCTACCCTCCACAAGCCTGAACACCTCTCGAGTGCCTGTAGGCACAATAAAGCCCAGTATTTTCCCGTGGAGCAGGTAAACAGACAAGAAACAGAAGGCTGCTTAATTATTCCTCTTTCATTAGAGTTGACATGTTTTCAAGGAATCGTTTTTAGACTCCTGGAGGACTCCAGAAATTTAGGAATTCAGCCTCAGTAAGTAGATGTTTGTTCCACTGGGATTTCCCAAGGTTTTTCTCATCTAGTACTCATGAGGGATGGTTTGCTCTTTGACCATTTATCTGTGCATGTATTCAGAGGCGAATTCCAAAAGGACGCCCTGTGAAAGTCTGATTTCAGGTATCAAGGTGGTTCCAAATTCCTCTCACTTCAGGGTGACATCACACAAGAACCCTTAGATAATATGGAGAAACAGACTACTCAGCCCTTTCAGAAAACAATTAGAGAGTGTATTGAAGACAACCGGAGTGGTAACCAGGTGTCTAAACGTCACTGTCCCCATGTGAATTTTTATATCAAAAGGATTGTTGATGTCATATGGCTTCCTGGGTGAGAGACGGGACAGCCAGAGGACTTCTACTGTGAGAAGGAATGCTCCCTGTCAGGAGGTGAGCAGGGGATTCTGGGCTGTTCTGTGGGGACCAGTGAGGAGCTGATCAGCAGGCCCTATAGGTTCCGGAGTCAGACAGGACACATGGAAGTGACCCGGGGAAATGTGCTGTAATTCTGAAAGTGCTGGGGCTGGACAGAAATGAACACATCTTGCCAGTGTCAGCTCTCAGGGAACCCAGCGCACACCAGCCCCAAATGGTGTTTGATTCTCATTGTCGCGTTCTCCAGGCCTGCTTTATTACGCTGGCCTCGAGGTCCTTCTTTTTGTCACCTGAGAGACATGGTGCAGTGCTGAGAAGAAAAATGAAGTCGCTGTCAGGAGGTCAGCCTCGGGCTGGGAGAAGTGGGAACAGCATGGGCTCTAAAGGAATTCAGAACAGGGGTCGGGTTCTGCCCTGTTCCTCACTAGCCACGTGATCCTGGGAAATACCCAGGAAATACCCTGTTTTTATATCCCAATTCACACACCCTGTGAGCCTTGGATTCTTCATCTGTAAGCAGATGTGATAAGGACTGTCTAGTAGGACAGTTGGAGTGTATGCAACGCAGGTGAAGCACCTGACTCCGGGCCTGGTATAAATTAGAAGTTTAACAAATGGCGGATGGCTGTTATTTCCAATATTTTTTAACCCGAGGCCCTAACACTCCGGGATTTTGTTGTTGCTGTCGTTGTTCTCCAGGACTTACCAGAGAATATACAGCTCAATAGGACATGGAATAATTAGCCCCAAACAGAAGCTTCTTCCATAAAATTCAGTTAAGTATTTCCTCTCAGAGAACGCGCTTCAAAATTTGGGTGTGCAGGAGTTTCGCCCAGCCAGGTGCAGCTCGGAGCTCCTACAATCTGCGTCAAAAGACCAACTGCTTCTCTCTCTCCCAGCTGCTTTCCCACCCAAACCACCATTTTCATCCATTTTGTTACCATCCAAAATCTAGCCCGTGCTTACAATTGGTCAAATTGCACTTGAGATAACCTAGTTGGAATGCCTTTTTTAATGGAGTCAGCTCTGGCTCTCCCTGCCCGGCAGAAAAGCACCTGGCCAGGGGCTTCTGGGCCACCCTTCCTGGGAAATTCAGCCTTATCGCTCAGGAAACCCTTGCAGATGATGGGTGTCCATCACCTAGATCTTGGGCTGCGTTCAACAGCAGTGGGACAAAAGCAGACGACACCTTCCATTCCTGCCTGAGGTAGAGATTCCTCTCTGTTCATCCCCCATTCGAAAGAAACTGCTCAGAGTTGCTTTCCATTCCAGGCTTTTCTCCCACACTCTGAGAATCTGGCTCTGGGCCCACCCAACTTCATTAGAGTCAGCTCCTTCAGAAGGAACTGAAGTTTCCCAAAGCCCAAAATGCCCCAGCTCAGGGCACTGACACTCCACTACTCTCACCCGGAGCGCCACACCCTCACCCCTCTCTTACATTTCCTCTACATCTTACAGGACTTCTCACCACCTTAATTATATGACTGCAGGTCCTAGGCTCTACAGCCCTATGGGTAGGCGTGAGTCTGGCTTACCTTAGCATCCCCACTACTAACCCAGGGCCTCCCACAGAGCAGATGCTGAGTGAACGGAAAAGAAACGAGCCAGTGAAGAGGAAGAATTATTTATTCAGATTTAATTTCGCTTGCATTCTCAAAGAAGTCAAGGAAATCCTGGTTTGCATATTTGTTTAATTTTACAGAATAGATTGAGGTACAAGGCAAGAATCAACTATCTTTTGATTTCTTGAGTTATCTCATGTATGTTATTGCTAATTCGCTCACAATTTTAAGCAAATACTTTTACCACTGCTATTATTATGTCACAATTCACAAAATGGAATGGATTTCCCAATTTGAGTAAAAAACAAGACTCTTACTCCTAAACTATATAAACAGCACTATGTGTGACTACTGTCATTCATAAACCTGGATGCTGACGCTCATTCAACCATCCGTTAAAAGGAACATTTGAACAACTCCAACAGGAAACAAAGAATAATCTCAAAGTCATCCAACAGAACAGAAACCCACTACTAAGAATGCTGACTGCTCGCTTCAAAGAGTGAAGAATGGGCCTCACGTCACAGGAGGCAGTGGAAACTAAGGGATGCGGCCCCGGAAGGTGCACTGGCCCAGACCCCCTCCCACTGGCCCTGGCTGCAACTCGTGCTCAGACTCACTCTTCCCCCTCTCTCAAAACCCACTCATGCAGGGGTGGGTAGGAAATGTGAGGTCCTCCACTGATCTTTACCATATGGTGCAGGACTTTCACATAGCTGGTTTCAACGAGGGCCCTTGGACCCCACAGGAATTCATAACATGCAGGATCACTGCCGGGGACCTGCCGGTACTCCAGGTAGTTTTCCTGCACGAAATGTTGGGTGAGCAGCTTCTTGGGATCCCCCAAGATACTGTCTTCCCTCCCCTCAAACACCTCTAACACACTCAGCTCCTCCCAGATTTTCTCCTCAGGGGCACAGTCGCCCTCTCTTGCGATTATGGCCAGGACGATTATCAGGAGGCCTGCCTTGGGCATGATCTGATTGTCACCCAGCAGGCCATCGTAGGAGAGGCCCAGGCAGGTGGCAAAGATGTACAAGTGGCCGATGGGGTCCACTTCCATCAGCTCGATGCCAAAGACCAGCTGCAAGGAACTGGAAGCTTTGCTGAAGATCACAGGAAAGAAATACTGCCAATTTCCGACGACACTCCCCAGCATTTCTGCCTTTGTGACCGGCTCCCTGGCTCGATACTTGAGGAGCAGAAAATGAACCAACTCGGCCACCTTCCTACTGAGTGCTGCTTGGAACTCGGACTCCAGGTCAGGGAAGGTGCTTGGCCCCTCCTCTTCTTGGTTGCTGGAGTCCTCATAGGATTGGCTCCAGAGAGGGTAGTTCATGGTAGTGGGGAGGCTGGAGGCTCCCTGAGGACTCTGGGGAGGATCTGGTGACTCGGCAGCAGGCACCTCCCCCAGGGTGACTTCAACTAGAGTAGAAGAGGAGGAGGCAGCCTCCTGCTCCTCAGTAGCAGGAGCCTGCGCACCCACCAGGCCCAGGGCCTCTCCTCGGGCCTCAAGGCCTTCTTCAGGCTTGCAGTGCTGACTCCTCTGCTCAAGAGGCATGATGACTCTGGTCAGGGCAACAGGCGGGAGTGTGGGCAGGAGCTGGGCAATGGAGACCCACTGGCCTGGGGAGAGAGGGAGCATGTGAGAGACCTCAGCTGAGTACTGAATGGAACCTTGGAGGCTCTAACAAAGGCTTACTTACAGATCTTCTCCTTCAGTGCTCCTCCGGGGGCCTCTGGTCCTCCAGGTCAGCCTGTCCCCTCAGAACCTGAAGGAGGAAGTGAGAGGGCACCTCAGGGTACATCCGGCCAGCGCATGCTGAGGCTGCAGGACTGAAAGTATTGAGGGTGAGGCCAGGCGCTCTGGAGTCCATGTGTTCTGGGGCAGGTGGGGCCCTTGGTTTGAATCCAAGGCAAACCTTCACCGTTGGCACTATCTGAGCCCCCTCTACTCTGTGACCTGAGGACACTGCCTCAGACCAAGTCCTCACTGCCTTGTTCCTGGAGCTCCTGATTCCTGGGAGAGGAATCCACGGGCCCCCAATGTGCAGACAGCAAACGCAGCCACGGATTCCCAGAACTGTCAGGAGGGTTGGCCAGACTCTGTGAGGTCCCCACTCTACTGGGGTGGAGGATCCCCTCTGTGCTCACTCAGGGCCCTCACCTTTCTCCTTATAGGGCCTAATCCCTCCCTTCTGCTGGCCTGAGAATCTCTCATGTCAAGAACTCACATACCTGATATGGTACAGAAAAACATGAGGGGACCCACATCTGGCCATACATTCCCAGGTCCTCCCGGAAAGGACAACGAGAGATGTCCAAATTTATTGAAGTCCATGTACCCTGGGTGAGGAGACTGCTTGGTCCTCACCTCCACTCCTAGTAGGGTCTGAGAGCCTCCCTCTACTGCCCTGAGTGCAGCCCCCTCAGACCAAGGCTTCCCCTTCCCTGACATCAGTGATCCTAGGATAATGGAGGGACCTCAGCTGACAGCCCTGCCCAGGCTCTCTGAGGTAACAGCAGGAGCAGGGCAGATTTTTATGGGGCCCCCAGTCCGCATTCTGTCCCAGGGGTACCCTCAATCCTCCCTCAGTCTCTTCACCTGGATGCTTGGCAGATCCTAGGACCACTGCATCTGTCCACCACATAGGGGCCCCTTGGGGGTACACCTTGGGCCCTGCAGATCCTGGGATTCCTCCCTCTGCTGACCTGAAGTCCCACTCTTCAGACCACAGCCCTCAACTCTCTGGTCACCCTGAAGGCGCAATGAGCACAGAGCACATTTGGCCACTGTGCCCAGCATCCCCCAGCCCAAGGTTGCCACTGATCTGGACTCCAAGGTCCCCTCAGTCCTCCCTCTTCTTCCTCCCCATGACTCCTCGCAGGGCTGGGCCCCAACCCCCTGCTGAAGTGGGTCTGCATCCCTAGGATTCCCGTAGCCGAATGAAAAGGTGCCTCGGTTTGAGACAGGGGTACAGTGGGCCCCCTGTCCTGGCATGCTGGGTCCCCTCAGGACTCCACTGTCTTCCAGGAGGGCCTGGGCCCTTTCGCTGCCTCCCAACGGCCATACTCGCGATACCGAACCCCTTCCCTCCCTTAGCCGTAGATGTGAACCTCAGGACTCACGTGCCTGGCCGCCATTCCCGGAGCTTCCGTGACTTGATACCAGGGGCAAAGCCCGGATTCTGCCAGGATAGGGGTGGGGGTGGGGATGGGAATGGGGGATGGGGGTGGGGTTGGTGTTGGGGGACGGGAATGGTGGTGAGGGTGGTGGTTAGGCTGCCCTCAGTTCCCTCTCGGGGTCCTGACCTTGATTCCTGCCACAGCGTGGGCCCTGACCTCTTCTAACCAGCCCTGCCCTGGCCACATTAAGCTCTGTCCCCAGAGTTCCCCGTGGCTAAAGCGGCGGGGGTCGGCGGGGTGAGGTAGTGGCGACCCAGCCTGGAAGTCTTCCCCTGCGGGGTGGCCCAGGCCCGGCAGCAGAGGCAGCACTGGATTATTTGAGGCCCTCTGTCTGAGGTGAGGCCCGCCTCAGTCCTCCCTCAGCGTCTTACCTTGCCTCCTCACCGAGCCTGGGCCGGCTTCCCTCCGCCGACGTCAGGCCGTCGCTCGTTGCTCAGGGCGAGAATCTCGCGGTCTTCTGACCTCCAATGCGCAAGTCAGTGGCGTCACATCCTGGCAACGGTACTACCCTGGGTTCCGGGCAGGGGTGGAACTGGATTCTGCCTGGATGGGGATCGGATGGGGGTGGAGGTAAGCATGAAGATGGTGATGGGGCAAGGGGTAAGGATTGGGACGGGGGTCCTGAGGCTGTAGATCCTGGTGGGGTCGGGGGAGTTGGGGGTGGGTGGGCGGGGCCTTCGGTCATCCCTCAGGGTCCTGAAGTTGATGCCTGGCTGAGCCTGGACCGCCATCCTCTGCAGATTGCTTCTGCTCCCCTCAGACCAAGTCTCTGACTCTGAGTCCCCCTGAAGTGGCATTGGGGGAAGGGGTGTGGTCTGGGTGACATCACTGCCTGCGTTTACCAGGGCTGACAAGAGGGGCTGAGCTGGATTCTGTGGTCCCTCTATGGTGTGTGGGGTGGGGGGGCGGTGTGGACCCTCAGTCCTCACTCAGGAGGGTCGTCTTCGTCACCTCTGGCTGTTGGATGAAGTGATGGGCAGGAGATGCTCTGTTTCTGTCACCTGTGAGCATTTGCACAGCTGCACCCCTTGTAGAGAATGCCTGCGGGTCCCAGGCCAGGTGCTCCCTGCAGGGCGGGGCGGCAGCTCCCGCGGTTGTAGTGACCTCCTATTTCAGTCTTTGTGTTCTGTTGAAAGAATTTTTTTTTTTAAAAAATGTAATTCCTCTGCCACTATGGTGGTTTCAGGTTGTTATTAGCAGAACTCTGGAGTCATACTGCCTTAACCAACCAAATTTTCCTGGTGTCCTGCTATTACCTAGGGCTCTTGGCATCGTGTTTTCAGAGGCTGCCTCAGATTGTGCAAAGAAGTGAAGTGGAAAATTTCAAACTTTTATTCTACCCATTCTGTCATCTACCGTGTAGGCCGGCTACAAACCTCCCCAACATCCCTGCTGCTAACCCCCTCCAACCAACACTGCAAGTGTCAAACACAAGTACCAGCTCAACACAGCCTTGAGTCTCACCCTGGGCTTTCCCTGTTTTGTTGCGTAGATTTTGTTGCTGATACTGGTTTTTTATTTACTGTTTCCATTCTGTAATTTTCCAGGTTTGATTTGGGAAGCAGAGCACAGCAGCCCAAATTTGTTGTAATGGCGGCGGCTACAGGTAAGGCACTAAATTGTAAATAATTTAAGCTGAGTTTACATTTTTACAGTGTTGTGCTCCCCATGAATGAATATATTATACTCCTCTATGTATTTCAAGCTTTTTTTTACCTGAATATGTCAGTATACTTCGACAGTTGTCTCTATAAAGACCTTATACATTTTTATTAGACTTCTTTTCAGGCAATTCATGAATTTTGTTGCTATTGCAAATGGCATATTGTCTATTAATTGTTGTAGTTAGTTATTGCTTTCGTGAGGTGAAGATTTTGATTTTGCTGTAGTAATCTGTTGCACTCCTCGTTCTGAAGGCCGATGCACTTGAATATTCCACATACCTTTTCCTTTGAATTTTCAAGATCGATAATGGTATTATCACTAAACATTACATATTCTTCCAGTATTCATACCACTTACTCATTTTGGTACTTATAGCTCTTTGTGTCTCAATCCTGATTTCAATCGTAGAGATAATAGCCTACATCTACTTCTCGTTCCTGACGTGAATGATAATTATTCGAACGTTTTGCATTTAAGTATGTTTGCTGTTGATTTTAGGAAGTGCAATTTCTCTTTGAATATAGGTTAAATACTTTTTTTTTTTTTTACCATGAACTCATATTAAATTTCTTTAAAAAGCTTTTTCTGTACCCGTTGACACAATCAAATTTTTTTCTCCTCCATTTTGTATGTAAGGAATTACAATGAAACCGTTTTTTTTTTTTCCCCTAATGTTAAACCGTATGTTATTTCCTTGGGCAGAGCCTGTTTATTTAATATGCTAGTAATTTACGTAGGATATTTGCTGCTATGTAAGGGAGCTTACTTAATGTGTGCTTTTTTTCCCATCAAGGGTGGGATGTGGTCCTCATCTGGTTTTTGAATCCAGGAGGGCTAGTCTGGAAGAATGAATTGAACAATTGTAAATATTTTGTATGTTCTAGAAGAGATGAGATAAGATGGTGGTTAGTTTTCCCTGATCATTTGGTAGAATTGGCCTCCAATACTGCCTAACCTGGAATGTTTGAAGGTGGCTTGAGCTTTGAATATTGTACAGTTTCAGTTTTTATAGTTTAATTAAAGTTTTCTTTTTCTTTTTGGATCAGTTTGGTTACTGGTTTATTTTATTTCTACAAAGTGGTCAGTTTCATTTAGGATTTCACTTTTAATGGCATATTTATTATAAAAAAAGTTTTACTAGGGAAAGCCTTCACACGTACAGAATAATAGGAACTAATGTAATGAACCCAGGATACTAGATACCCAGCATGAACAACTTTAAATACACAGCAAATCTGGTTCCAGTTAGACACTTGCCTACCTGCACATCAGCTTCTGGAATAACGTGGAGCGAATCTAAGGCATTAGACCATTTCATCTCGAAATAACTCAATATGCATTTTTAAAAGATAAGGACGTTTTATTAAACAGAATCCCAATAGTTTTCATATCTGAAAAATTATATAAATGATTATCAAATATTCAACTATTTTACATGCTTATCTGGCCGACTTATACTTTATAAAAAACATATTTCTTTGATGGAGTACCCAAATATGGTAACTTTCCCGCCACTTGCTTCACTGTAGTGGTTTCATACATGTATAATACAGCTAGGTTTGTGTGTGTGTGTAACATTCTACATTCTGTCCCATGATTCTCCAACTTCTTAAGTTACTTTTAGACTTTACATACATTAAGCTTCACTCTTTGTGCTGTAAAGATCTATGGGTTTTGACAAATGCCTCGTGCCGTTGTCTTAGTCCCTTTGGGCTTCCATAACAAAAATAGTGTAGACTGGGTGGCTTATAAACAACACAACTTTATTTCTCACATTCTAGAGGTTGGGAAGTCCAAGATCAAGGTGCTGGCAGATTTCATGTCTGATGGAGACCTGCTCCCTAGTTCATAGACAGTTGCCTTTCCCCTATGTCCTCACATGGAAGAAGGGGCAAGGGATCTCTGTGGAGTCTATTTTATAAAAACACTGATCCCATTCATGAGGACTCTGCTCTCATGAACTAGTCATTCTCCAAATACCCCACCTTCTACCTAATACCATCACCTTGGTATTTCAGCAGATGAAGTTTGTGGGAACACAAATATTCAGATGAAAGCAAGCATGCATCCACCATTACAGTATTACCATACTAGTTTCACTGCCCTGATAAATCCCCTGTGCTTGTCAGATAACCCCCTTGGCTGCCACTGATAGGTGTTTCATCTTTATAATTTTGCCTTTTCCTGAATGTCATATAAATAGACTCGCATACTATGTAGCCTTTTTAGACTGGTTTCTTTCACCTAGCATAATGAACTGAAGAGTCATGTATAACTTTGTGTGGCTCAGAACTTATTCCTTTTCATTGAGGAGTAGTAGTATCATTGTCTGGTTGTACCATAGTGCGTGTGTATATATATATCCATCCACCAAATGAAATACATTTTGGATGCTTCTATTTTTGGTGATTATGAAATAATCTTTTGTATACAATCGTATACAAATTTTTATGTAGACGTAAGTTTTCACGTCAATTGGGTAAATTGATTATGACTGCTGAATCTTATGCTGTGTTCAGTTTTTTAAGAAAACGCCAAATTGTCTTCCAAAGTGGCTGTACCATGTTGCATTTCCACCAGCAATGAATGAGAGTTTCTGTTGCTCCACATCTTCCCTGGCAATTGATCTTGGTTTTCTTTTCTTTTTTTTTTTTTTTTTTGCTTTTTTATGGATTTTGGACATTCTAATAGGTGTGTAGTGGTATCTCATTTTAGTACACAGTTATCTAATGAGAACGGATTCTCAGTACTTTTTTATGCTTATTTGCCATGTGTATATCTTCTTTTGTGAGGAGTGTGTTCAGATCTTTGCCTATTTTCATGTTTTTTCTGTCGTTGAACTTTAAGAATTCGTGTATGTTGTAGAGATATGTTCTTTATCACATATGTGTACCACCGATGTTTTCTGCTAGTCTGTGGCTTCTGTTTTCATTCTCTTAACATTGTCCTTTGAAGAGCACATGATGTTTATTTTAATAAAATCTACTTGGTAAATTTTTCTTTCATTGATCATGCTTTTGGTGTTGAATTTAAAAACTCACCACTGAACTCAAAGTTATGTGAATTTTCTCTTATGTTTTCTTATAGAGGGTTGTATAGTTTTTGCATTTTGCATTAGGTCTGTGATTTATATCGAGTTAATTTTTCTGGAATATGTAAGGATGTTTCTAGGTTATTATAATTTGCCTGTAGATGTCTAATTGTTCAGGCACCTTTTGCTGGAAAAACTGTACTTTCACCATTATTGCCTTTGTTGTGAATCACCTGACTATAAGTGTGCAGGTCTATTTCTGAGCTCTATTCTGTTTTATTAATCTATGTGTGCATTCTTTGCTAATGCTTATGTCCTCCACCAAATTCATACTTTGAAGCCCTCAGCCCCGGGGTGTCTGCATTTGGAGATGAGGCCTCTAAGGAAGTAATTAATATTAAAAGAGGTCATAAGGGTGGGGCCTCGATCCCATAGGATTAGTATGGTTATAAGCAGTTAGAAGAGACAGAAGAAATTACTTGTGTGCCTGCACTAGCTCTCTCTCTCTCTCTCTCTCTGCACATGCACAGAGGAAAGGCCAAGAACGGATATATTGAGAAAGGGCTATCTACAAGCCAGGAATAAGGCCGTCACCAGAAACCAACCCTGCCAGTCCTTGATCTGGGACTTCCATACTTCAAAACTGTGAAAAAAAATAAATTTGTTTTGTTTCAGCTACTCAGTCCATGGCATTTTGTTAGGGCAGCCTGAGCTTACTAAGACATAACCTCAGGTAACACAATTTTTTTTTGTTTTCTCCTACAGAAAAAAAAAAACCCATAATTTTGACATTTAAGTCTGTGGTTCATTTTGAGTTACATTTTTGTATGGTGTAAGATATGTGCGATGGTTAATATTATGTGTCAACTTGTCTAGGCTATAGTGCTCAGCCGTGTGGTCAAACAGTAGTCTAGATGTTGTTGTGAAGGTATTTTGTAGTTGTGATTGACATTTACCATCAGTTGACTTTAAGGGAAGCAGTTTAATCTCCATAATGTGGATGGGCCTCATCCAGTTAGTTGAAGGTGTTAAGAGAAAAGACTAAGGTTTCCTGGAAAAGGAATTCTACCGCAAGACTAACATAAAAATGTTGTGTGAGTTTCTAGCCTGCTGGCCTGCCTCACAGATTTGGGATATACAAGACCTCATAATCACATGAGATAATTCCTTATGAAACCTTTATCTTTCTTTCTCTCCCTCCCTTTTTACATAGATAGATATGTAGGTAGGTAGCTAGATAGATAGATAGACAGGAAGAAAGCAATTACGGATTGAAATTCAGTTTTGCATATAGATATCCAGTTGTTCTAGACCCAGTTGAATACACTATCATTTCTCTCCTCGAATCTTCATTTGTATCTTTATCAATATTTGACTTATATATATATGCATATACATGTGGATCCATTCCTGGACTTTACTCTCTTCTTTTTATGTGTTTCTAAATTTAGGACAATTCCACACTATACTGATTATTGTTAGTTAATAAACCTTCAAATGAAGTAGGGGAACCCCTCTGTATTTATTCCTTTTCACACAGCTGATAAAGCATACCAGAGACTGGGAATGTTACAAAAGAAAGATGTTTATTGGACTTGCAGTTCCACGTGGCTGGGTAGGCCTCACAATCATGGTGGAAGGCAAGGAGGAGCAAGTCACGTCTTACATGGATGGCGGCAGACAAAGAGAGAGAGAGCTTGTACAGGGAAACTGCCGTTTTTAAAACCATCAGATCTCTTGAGACTTATTCACTATCACGAGAACAGTATGGGAAAGACCCAACCCCATGATTCAATTATCTCCCACTGGGTCCCTCCCACAACATGTGGGAATATTGGGAGCTACAAGATGAGATTTGTGTGGGGACACAGAGCCAAACAATATCATTCCACATGTGGCCCCTCCCAAATCTCATGTCTTCACCTTTCAAAACCAATCCTGCCTTCCCAACAGTCCCCCAAAGTCTTAACTCATTTCAGCGTTAACGCAAAAGCCCACAGTCCAAATCTTGAGAAGTTGTCAAAGGACACTCAGTTTTCTTCAGTTAATAATGTAAAAGGACTGCACTGACGTGGTTAAATTCCCAGGACTCTCAGTTCTTTAGGAATGGACTAAATATCTGGTATCGTCACTTACAAAAGTGTCTTGAACTTGATATAGTTTATGTTCAGAAATTGGTTCATATTTTTTATTTTTATCTTTTAATTCAATTTTTTTTCATGAGCTTTTTGAAGGCCCCCGGATATGCACCCTGTATAAAGGAGAAAAATTCTCGGGACTACTAATTTTGACCGAAATTATTGTTGATTTAATTTATACAAACACAAAAGGTGATACAAACATTTTTATAGCACCTAATGAACATATTTGTGAAATAAATGCATTCAAAAACAAACTAAAACAGAAAAGAATAAAAATATACAATAAAATAGTACACAGCAGGTTGCTGATTGTGGTGACCTCTGAGGTGCGGGCTGAATTGTGGAGGAACTTTATACAGAGAAGAATTGTGAATTATCTGTATTTTAGATTTCTTTTGCAACAAGAATATAGGCACAATTATCTTTTAAATTACAATATCTAAATAAGCCTAACAGCAAAAATAGTAGCTGTGTATTAGTCAGTTAAAGTAACTGAAGTAACTGCTAGCTGATGCAATAGGCAAACCCTGGAATTTGAGTGACATGACAAAACACAAGTTTATTTAATGTGCACATGAGTCCTGATGTGGTTTGACAGGGCCTCTCCACTCTCCCGTGACCCAGGTATCCAGGCAGCTTCCACCTCGGGATTCCACCACCTCAACATGAGGCTGCCATGTTTACTATTAGATGGAGGGAGAAAGCATGGAAATGGCACACTGGCTCTCAGATGTCTAGATGTGACAAACAATGCTTCTGCTCATGTTTCAGTGGTAAGGGGTTGTCACATGACCCTTCCTAACTACAAGTGGACTGTACTGTTCCCATGTATCCAGGAAAGAGAGGAAGATGAGATGTGGGTGAGCACTATAGTCTCTCCCATAAACTGTTGCATAGTAGGTGCTCAACAAAAAGGAACTATTATTATTTGCTATGACAACAGCCCTCTTCATTGCTGGGAGGAGTTTCGGAGAAAACCAGATTTTCTTTACGTTCTCCAACTTTTTTTAAGTGTGTACTGTATGACAGATGCTTTCAAATACAGGATCACATGTAGTTTTCTAAGGATCCAGTATACCTCAGCACCTCGTGTGATATACTAACTTCTTCACTCACTAGTATAGTTAGATATACTAACTATCTTCACTTACTAACACTTTTCTGCACTGTCATTTGCAATAATGTCTGAAACCTTAGTAGGCTGAGAATTTCTCATTCTTTTAATTCATGGGTAAAACCTCAACCTGTGGGTCTCTGCTACCCTCCTGTTACCTGAACGTCTGTTCAGATGCCATTAGACACATTGAAAGCTATGTCTTTCCTGTGGGGCAGATCCACAGACCAGAAGTAGTGCCAAGAGAGTTCTTTTTTTCATTTCTGATTTTTTTTCCATTTCTAATCAGAGCTAGCATGCCTACCGAGGAACCACTTTTCGTCTCCTAGGAGAACTTTAGGGTTTTAGGAATTCAGCTTCAGTAGATATTTGCCCCACAGTGATTTTGACAGTCCTTCCTCATCTGTCACTTATGAAGGAGATGCTGTGAACTGAACTGTGCCCCCACCCCCACCAAAACTCGTATGTTGAAACCCTAAGACCCAGTGTGATGTATCTGTAGATGAGGCCTTTGGACGTAATTAGAGTTAGATGAGGTCATTAAGGTGGAACCTTCGTGATGGGATTACCGCTCTTATAAGAGACATCAGAGAGCTTGCTCGCATTCTCTCCTTCTGCCATGTGCAGACACACAGAGAAGGTAGCTGTCTACAAGCCAGGAAGAGACCCTCACCAGGCATCAAACCTGCTAGAACCTTGATCTCAAACTTCCCAGCCTCCAGAAATGCGAGAAACATCTACCTATTTGTTTAAGCCACCCAGTGGTACTTTGTTATGGTACTTTGTTATGGCAGCCTGAGCTAATACAAGAGGCTTTGGCTTTTGACCATCTATGTATGTGCTCTGTGGCCAGTTTCCAATGAGACAGCTTATTAAAGTCCTATTGTAAATATAGGATGGTTTCAAACACTTTCTAACTTCAGGGTTGTATCCCAGGAACTGATATATTATAAGTCAAAATCAGACGCTACTCACCAGCTGACTTGGAAAACATTTTAAGAATGTGTTGAAGACATCCAACAGGATGATCAGATGTCTGAAGGTCTCTATTCAAAGTCAAATGTATTTTTGCTATTAGAGGGGCCCCAGTGTGAGGAACAGGGACAGTCAGGGGACTTCTCCAGAAAGTAGAACTGTTCTATGTTAGGAGAAGGGCAGGTGACTCTTGGCTGTCCCACTGGAAGTAGGGCACAGCCTTTAAAGGATGCAACCATGAAGAGCTTAGCAGCAAGCTCGATTCCAGAATTGGACAGGCAGGCACATGGGGCAAGACCATTGTGGAAGGGTGCTATAATTCGGGAAAGTGCTGGGAATGCACAGAAATGCTGGCACCTGGACAGAGTTGGCTCTCAAGGAACCACAGACGATTCCTAAATTGTGTTGGTTCTCATTGTCACCTTCCTTCTTGTCTTAGTCATTTCATGCTGCTGTAACAAAATGCTATAGACTGGGGGTCTTACACAACAGATGCTTATTTTCTCCCAGTTCTGGAGGCTGGGAAGCCAAAAGTCAGAATGCCAGTATGGTGGGTGTCTGGTGAGGGTCTTCTTTCTGGCTTATGGATGCCCACCTTCTCTGTGAGTCCTCACATGGCAGAGAGAGAAAGAGAAAAATGTGCAAGCTCTCTGGCATTTCTTCCTATAAGGACACTGATATGGTCTGGATCAGTGTCCCCACCAAATCTCACGCTGAATTGTAATCCACAGTGTTGGAGGTGGGGCCTGGTGGGAGGTGATTGGATCATGGGGGCAGATTTCTCATTAATAGTTTAGTACCATCACCTTGGTACTGTGCTCATGATAGTGAGTGATTTCTCACGACATACGGTCATATAATAGTGTGTGGCAATGCCCCCCCCGTCTCTCTTGCTCCTGCTTTCACCAAGTGAAGAGCCTGCTCCTTCTTTGCCTACTGCCATAAGTAAAAGCTCCCTAAGGCCTCTCCAGAAGCAGATGCTGCCACGCTTCCTGTACATCCTGCAAACCGTAAGCCAATTAAACCTATTTTTTTTTAATAAATTACCCAGTCTCAGGTATTTTTTTATAGCAACGCAAGAATGAACGAATACAGACATTAATCCAATCATGAGGGCCTACGCTCTCAGGAGCTCATCTAACCCTAATTACCTCCCAAAGGCCCCATCTCCAGACCATCACATTGGGACTTAGAGCTTCAACATATACATTTTTTTTTTTTTTTGGAGGGGAGCACATTTCAGTCCATAGCACTTCTTTAGGCATACTTTTTGTAGCTTGACCACAGGGTCCTTCTTTTGGTTGCCTGAGAGACGTGGATTCCTGAGAAGTAAATAGCAAGACGAAGGTCTGCTTCAGGTTGGGACGCGAAGGAATGACATACACTCAGATGAATTCGGACCATGTGTATTAGTTTGCTTTGGCTATCATAACAAGGTACCACAGACTGGGGGAGCTTAAGCGTCAGAAATGTATTTTCCCAGTCCCGGAGGCTACAAGTTCAGGCTCAAGGTGTGGGCAGGGTTGAGTTGTCCTGAGGCCTGTCTCCTTGACTTGTAGATGGCCATTCTCTTCCTGTGTCTTCACATGGTCTTTCCTCTGTGTGTGTCTGTGTCCTAATGTCCTCTTCTTATAAGGACACCAGTCATATTGGATTGGGGCCCATCCTAATCTAGCAGGGATGCAATCCCAACCGTGTTGCTTATTAGCCATGTAATTATGGGGAAATCATCAAGCCGCATGAGCATCAGGTTCTTCATCTGTGAAGCAGGTTTGATAAAGTCTGTCTTATAGGACTTTTGGAGTGTGTGCAATGTAAGTAAAGCACTTGGCTCAGGGCCTGGCATATATTAGATCGTTAATGTTTGGCAGTTATTTGTGTTACTATTTGGAACTCAGATCCTACCATAGTTGCCTCTGGGAATTTTGTTGTTGCTGTTGTTATTGTTATCTAGGAAACCTCAGAGTACGTAGCACAACAGTACAGAGAATAGAATACCAACTCAGCCCAAAGTGTTGCTTCATAGACAAAACACAGTAGAATTTCCCTCCTAGAGGATCTATTGTTTAATTTGTGTGTGGAGGAGTCTTCTTCAGCTGGATTGCAGCTCAGTGTTCCTGGAACGTGAGTCCAGGACCAACTCTTTTCCTCCCTCTCAGCTGCTTTTCCATCTCAACCACTATTTTCATTCATATAATCACCACGCAAAATCTAGCCCATGCTCAGGAATGGCCAAATTACACTTGAGATAACCTAATTAGAATGCCATTTGACTAGAGTCAGCTCTAGCTCTCCCACTAAGGCAGAAGAGTACCTTGCCAGTGGCTTCTGGGCCTCCCTTCCTGAGAGATTCACCCTTACCTCCCAGGAAACCCTTGCAGATGATGAGTATCCATCACCTAGCTCTTGGGCTGTATTCAACCGCACTGGGATAAGAGCACAGGATGCCTTCCATTCCTGCCCCAGGTGGAAACTCGTCTATGTTCATCCACCAACCATAATGAACTGCTCAGAGCAGTTTTCCATTCCAGGCTTTTCTCTCCCTGAGAATCTGACCCTGGACCCACCAGCTTCATTAGAATCAGCTTCCTCCGAAGGAACTGCAGTTTCCCAAAGCCCAAAAGGCCCTGGCTCAGGGCATTTACACTCCACCACTCTCACCGGGAGCACCACACATTCTGCCCTCTCTTACTTTTCCTCTAGGTCTTAGAGGAAATCTCACCAACTTAATTTTATGACTATAGCTCCTAGACCCTACCACCCTTCGGGTAGGGGTGGGTCTGACTTATGCCAGTATCTCCAGTAACACAGTGCTTTCCAAAGAGCAGATGCTCAGTGAGTGTTTGAGAAAGAATGAGCCAGTGACCAGGACTTCCATTTAAGATATAATTTCTCCTACATCCTTGAATAAGCCAAGAAAATCCAGGTACACATATATGGCTTAATTTTATAGAACAGCACATGAATAAAAAGCTGAGAATTAACTGTCTTTTCCTTTTATTTCTATTTTTTAGAGTAAAGTGAGAGCAAGTTTATTAAGAAAGTAAAGAAATAAAAGAATGGCTACTCCATAGCCCTGAGGGCTGCTGGTCGCCTTCTTATTTTTATTTTTATTTTTATTTTTATTTTTTTTTTGAGACAGAGTCTCACTCTGTCGCCCAGGCTGCAGTGCAGTGGCGTGATCTCGGCTCACTGCAAGCTCCGCCTCCCTGGTTCATGCCATTCTCCTGCCCCATTCTCCCAAGTAGCTGGACTGCAGGTGCCTGCCACCATGCCCGGCAAATTTTTTGTATTTTTAGTAGAGACAGAGTTTCACTGTGGTAGCCAGGATGCTGTCGATCTCCTGACCTCGTGATCCACCCCCTTTGGCCTCCCAAAGTGCTGGGATTACAGGCGTGAGCCATGGCGCCCGGCTGGTTGCCCATTTTTATGGTTATTTCTTGATTATATGCTAAACAAGGGGTGGACTATTCATGAGTTTTCCAGGAAAAAAGTGGGGAATTCTTGGAACTGAGGGCTCCTCCCCTTTTTCAGCCATATAGGGTAACTTCCAAACGTTGCCATGGCATCTGTAAACTGTCGTGGTGCCGGTGGGAGTGTCTTTTAGCATGCTAATGCATATAATGAGCAGTGAGGATGACCAGAGGTCACTCTCATTGCCATCTTGGCTTTGGTGGGTTTTGGCTGGCTTCTTTACTGCAACCCGTTTTATCAGCAAGGTCTTTATGACCTGTATCTTGTGCCGACATACTGTCTCATCCTGTGACTAAGAATGCCTTACCTCCTGGGAATGTAGCCCAGTAGGTCTCAGCCCTATTTTACCCAGACCCTGTTCAAGATGGAGTTGCTCTGGTTCAAACACCTCTGACATTTCCCTCCTCCCTTTTATCTGAGAACCTTTATTCCTAAGGGTTGTAGAGGGATGAAGATCCATCTTCTGTAACTTCTTCAGGCTGAATAGGGGTGATGATATTACTGCCTAATTATGAGAGTCTTTTGAATTCAGGACAGAGAGGAGCTCAGTCAGAAAGCGTCAGTTTGGTGAGGGTCATACACAACTCTGAGTTCTGACAAAACATGTTATCTGGAAGATTAATAAGTGTTCAGTTTAAGAAAACATTGAGTAAGCTTATCCTGCACTCCTGCACCAAGAATACAACACCAGTGTATTCCACAACAGTAAAGCAAAATAAGTAAAATTATCCCAAGGTAAACTAAGTAAGAAGGCTTTCCTTGAACTGGGCAACTGTTAGAACCAGGCTGATACGGGGTCACTATCTGATTTCAATATGTGCCCAGAACTAGAATATTGATCCAGATTTTTACATTACCCATCCCTCTTGCTTCTTCTAAATAGCAGTCAGGGATCACTGATTGGTTCACAGGAATAAGAAAAGTGAGTCTAAATTGCAGAAAAAAACTTTAAAACAACGAATGAAACTAGAATCTAATAACAGGTGCACCATAGTTTTTGCAACATCATATTTTTTTCTCTCTCCAGTCTCCCATTTTTACTAAAGACAAATCATGGTAAGACTGGTTTGTTTTATTATACTTGGCCTGATCATTTGTATAAAGTGCAGCAAGAATAATTATTTTTCACATACGCTCTTTATATTTTTATTTTTATTTTATGTTTTAATAGGAGGCAGTCTCCCAATGTTGCCCAGTCTGGTCTCGAACTCCTGGGCTCAAGCAGTCCTCCTGCCTCAGCCTCCCAAAGTGCTGGGACTGCAGGCATGAGCCACCACGCCCAGCCTCACATAAGCTCTTTTAAAACTGGCTTTGATGGGCCGGGCATGGTGGCTCACGCCTGTAATCCCAGCACTTTGGGAGGCTGAGGTGGGCGGATCACCTGAGGTCAGGAGTTCAAGACCAGCCAGGCCAACATGTTGAAACCCCATCTCTACTAAAAGAAAAAAAAAATTATATATATATATATACACACACACACACACACACACACACACAGACACACACACACACATATATACACATATATATGTGTATATATATATATGTGTGTGTGTGTGTGTGTGTATATATATATATATATATATATATATATATATATAAGATTAGCCGGGCGTAGTGGTGGGTGCCTGTAATCCCAGCTACTCGGGAGGCTGAGGCAAGAGAATCGCTTGAACCCAGGAGGCGGAGGTTGCAGTGAGCCAAGATCACCCTCCTGCACTCCAGCCTGGGCAGCAAGAGCAAAACTCGGTCTCGAAAATAAATAAATAAATAAATAAATAAATAAATAAATAAATAAATAAATAAATGAAAATAAAAAATAAAAATAAATGGCTTTCATGGAGCTCTGTTCCATAGAAGGAATCTCAGATAAGACCTTTTTAAAGCTGAGTCCAGCCTGGGGTGGGTGCCGTCAAATACCTCTGAGTTGGGTAAAATCCTCTCCTCTTGAGGTCCCAAGATAACTTGGGGCTCCTGGGCCTGTCAGATAATGACATTCTTTACTTACCACAGGTCAGTAACCCTGCACAGGGACTGTGTAGACAAGTTATGAGGCTAGTTTTCCCAAGGGGTTTTTATTGGCTCTATAAGTCAAGTTTGATCCCTTAAAGGAAAGAACACCATTCCAGTCAAAGCCTTGGTAAAATAACCAGTTTCTCCAATTGTGTCTTGTTGCAAAAGAAAACAGATTCTTATTGCACTTATGCAAATAACTATATTGCTATAAGTTAAGAATATTCACAAGCAGTTTCCAAATTCTAGAGAAATTAGGTAGAGAGAAACAAATATGCTCTGAATTTTGTTCACAGAAGTATACTTTACTGAATTGTTAAAAGCTGTCAATAGCCCAGAAGAAAAGTTTTCCTGACTCCAAAGTCTGCCAGTCAGTGCTGCCGTCTATTTCCTTTGGGTCAGGGGGTTTCCTCAGTATTGTCCCTTCAGGGTTCACCGGAAAGATGTTACTGGAATGGGGTCCCAGTGCAGACTCCAAAAGAGGGTTCTTGGAGCTCGTGCAAGAAAGAATTCGAGGTGAATCCATAGAGTAAAGTGAGAGCAAGTTTATTAAGAAAGTAAATAAAAGAATAGCTACTCTACGGGCAGAGCAGCCTATCTTTTCCTTTTATTTCTCTGTTTCATGACCCCATCAATTTTTTTGCTAATGTATTTCATTTTCCAAGGAAACACCTATTCCAATGCCATGGCATCTTGTTCCAAACCGCAAAACCAGATGAAGGGCTTCCCAATATGTTTTACAAAATAGCAAACTCATCCAAATAGAACAGAACACAAAGACATTATACACTGAGTTCCCTTCCACCCACCGTGCCTTTCACTAGTGAGAACGCTGACTGCTCTCTTTAGAGTGAAGAATGGGCCTCATGTCACACAGGGTGGGGAAGCTGCTGGATGTAGCCCTGGAACGTGCACTAGTCCACCCCACCCTCCACTGGCCCTGGCTGCATCGCCTGCTGAAACTCTCTCTTCCTCATAGCATGCAGGATCACTTCTGGGCACCTGCCAGTACTCCAGGTAATTTTCCTGCACCCAATCCCGGGTGAGCAGCTTCCTGGGCTCCCCATAGATGAAGTGCTCCCTCCCAGCATACACCTCTATCACATTCAGGGCTTCCCACATAACCTCCTCTGGGGCGCAGTTGCCCTCCGTGAAGATCACACACAGGACAATTATTAGGAGGCCCGTCTTGGGCTTGCTCGGGTCATCAACCAGCATGCCATCATAGGAGAGGCCCAGAGAGGTGACAAGGACATAGGAATGGCCGGTGGGGACCACTTCCTTCACGTCGATGCCAAAGATCAGCTGCATGTACTCGGAGGATTCCTTGAAAATGAAAGCGAAGTAGTCTTCGTGATTTTTGATGACACTATCCACCATTTCTGCCTTTGTGACTGACTCCTTAATTCGAAACTTGTGGAGCAGGACACTAACTAAATCAGACACCTTGTCAGAGTGCCTCTCGGAGGAAGGACTCCATGACACTTGGGATGGGCAAGGTGATTGGCTCCTCCTTTTCTTGGCTGCTGGAGCCCTCATCGGATTGGTTCCATAGAGTGTTATCGATGGTAGTGGGGGAGGAGGAGGCTCCCTGCATACTCTGGGGAGGACTCAGTGCCTCAGCAGCACACAACTCCTCCAGGGTGCCCATGATCAGACTAGAGGAGGAAGAGGCAGCCTCCTCCTCCTCAGGCACAGGACCCTGCCCACCCACCAGGCCAGGGACCTCTCCTTGGGCCTCAAGGCCTTCCTCAGGCATGTAGTGCTGACTCCTCTGTCCAAGAGGCATGATGACTCTGGTCAAGGCAGCAAGCGGGAGTGTGGGCAGGAGCTGGGTAATGGGGATGCACAGGCCTGGGGAGAGAGGGAGCGTGTGAGAGGCCTCAGCTAAGAACCAGACTTTGGAGGAGGCTCTAACAAAGGCCTACTTACGGATCTTCTCCTTCAGTGCTCCTCTGGGGCCTCCTGGGGCTCCTGTCCTCCTGGTCAGCCTGTCCCCTGAGAATCTGAAGAAAGAAGTGACACAGCTTCTCAGGTTACAGCCAGCCAGCAGAGGCCAAGGCCCCAAGGCTGAGGGTAGGGCAGGTGGGGCTGGGCGCTCTGGGGTCCCATCCATTATGGGTGGGTGGGACCCTTGGTATACATTCAGGGTGAACACCTCACCTTGACTGCTGGCACTGCCTGGGTCTCCTCTGCTCTGTGGCTTGAGGACACTGACTCAGACTAAAGCCTCACCTCCAAGTTCCTGGAGCTCCTGGAAGAGGGATCAAGGGGCCCTCAGGGTGCAGGCTGCAAGCACAGCCTCAGTCCCCCGAGTGCTGTCAGGAGGGTGGGCTGGACTCTGTCAGTTCCCTCACTCTTTTGCATAGATGGCCCCTTCTATGCTCACTCAGGACCTTCACGTTTCTCCTAGCAGGGCCTGAATCCTGCCCCTTTGCTGGCCTGAGAAACTCTCAGATCAAGAGCTCATATCCCTGATATGGAACAGAAGGACATGAGGGGACCCACATCTGGCCACACCTGCTCAGGGCTTCCAGGCAAGGACAGTAAGAGGTGGCCATATTCAGCTGGGTCCATGTGTCCTGAGATGAGGAACCTGCTTGGTCCACATCTTGATGCCTGCAGATCCTGGGACTCTCCCTGTTTACCTGAGGCCACCACCTTAAATCAAATCCCTATCTCCAAGAGACACCAGTAAAGGAAGTGAGGGGATTCCATCCACCCACTGTTCCCTGCAGTTTCCCATGCCTGACAGAAAAGGCAGGGCAGGGCTGGGTCATGTGCATTCGCCGTGTGGGGTCCACTTAGTCCTCACCTTGACTCCTGGCTGAGCCTGGGACCCTCCCTCTGACCTAAATGCAGCCCCTCCAACCAAGGCCTCCCCCTCCCTGAGACCACTGATCCTGGTATAAGAGAGGGGGCCTCAACTGACAGCTCTGGCCATGCTCTCTGCGGAAACAGCAGGGGCAAGGCAGATTTCTGTGGGGCCTCCATCTGCCTTCTGGTCCAGCGGTACCCTTAATCCTCCCTCAGGTTCCTCACCTGGGGTCTTAGCAGATCCTGGGTCCGCTCTGTCTGTTAATCAGATGGGGGTCCCTGTGTTGGCCTGAGTAACCCACTGAGAACTAGGTCCTCACCTCCCTGAGATCCCAAAGCCGACATGAGGAGGACTCACATCCCGTCACCCCTCCATGGGGTGTCCAGGGCTGACACCAGGGGCTGCCCCCTTCTGTTCTGGGGTGGAAGTTCCAAAGTTCTCCTGTGGGTTATTCATCTTTACTCCTGCCGGGACCTGCCGTTCCTCAACCCTCAGCCCCCTGAGATGAGCAGACATCTCCCCTTTACACCAAGACCACATCTCCCTGAGGGTTCTCCAACTTCCTGCCCGTGGCACAAGTGAGATTGCCACTTAGGGCCACCCTGGATCAGGTCCCCCCAGAGCTAAGAACAAGGACAGCAGACTCTGCGGGGTCTCTTCTTTCTGGGCTGGGGGTACCTCCAGTCCTCATGAAAGGTGCACACCGTGGGTCCTGCAGATGCTGGGACTCCTCCCTCTGCTGACCAGGTGTGGCTCCCTCTACTGGCCTGTCAGTGTCACTGGGACCAAGGTCCTCACCTCCCTGAGACCTCCCACCTCCAACCACATGGCAGAAATGAGAGCATGCCACATGCCATCCCTGCCTGTGGCCTCCCAGGGCTGAGAACAGGGGAAGCTGGGCGGCTCTGCAAGTTCCCTTCTTCTTTATGATGTGGAGGTAACTTCTTACCTTCAGTCCTTACCAAACTTCCTCCCCTTCACTCCTGGAAGACCCTGGACTCTATCCGGTGCTGACCAGGTGTGGCTACCTCTGCTGAGCGGAGGACGCCCCTCAGACCAAGGCCCCCACCTCACTGAGACCCAGGAGGTAGAGGTGAGGGGGCACCACACGGTCACCCCTGCGTGGGATTCCCAAAGCTGACAGAAGGTGCAAGTTTCAGGGGGCCCTCCGCTGTCTGGGTGTCTTCCAGGTGTTCAGATTGAGTCCCGACAGGGCCCGGCTCTTTCCCTCCTGCTGAACTGTATGCCAAGGCCACCATGTCCCTGATACCCTCAGGGAGAAAGTGGTGGGACAGCATCCCTTCCCCACAGTCCTGCCCAGGCCTCCCAGGACTGACAGTAGGGGCAGGTTTCCTAAGTCTGGGAAGAAAGGTCTTCTGAGTCATCCTTCAGAGCTCTGGGACTCCTCTCTCTGCTGACCTGAGGCCCCACTCCCCAGACCACAGTCCTCTCCTCCCTGACACCCCAAAGGCACAGCGAGTCCAGGCCACATGTGGCCACTGTGCCTGGGACCTCCCAGGGTCGAGGTCCCCACTGATCTGGACTCCAAGTTCCCGTCAGTCCTCCCTCTTCTTCCTGCCCTTGACTCCCGGCAGGCTTGGGCCCCACCCCAGCCTGCTGACCTGAGTCTTCATCCCTCAGATTCCCAAGGCCAAATGAGGAGGCACCTCAGTCTCAAACAGGGGGTGGGTGGGCCCCCTGTCCTGGGGTCCTGGGTGCCCTCGGGCCTCTCTCAGGCCTCCCTTGTTTCCCAGCAGGGCCTGGGCCCTCCCTCTGCTCCCCGCAATCCGTGCTCATGATATGAAGCCCCTTCCCTCCGTCAGCCCTGGATGCCCATGCCAGGATCCACATGCCTGGCCACCATGCCTGGAAATTCCCAGGGCTGACAGCAAGGACAGAGCCCCGCTCTGTGGAGCCCTCAACCCTCTCTGAGGGTCCTGAACGTGATGGCTGGCAGAGCCTGGCTGCTGCCCTCTCCTAGGCAGCCCTGCCCTGATCACACCAACCTCTGACTCCAGAGTCCCCTGAGGCTTAAGTGGCAGAGAGTTGGGGGCGGCCCAGCCTGAGAAGTCCGCCCCCGGGTGGTCCTGGGTTGGCAGCAGGGGTGGTGCTGGATTTTTTAGGGTCCTCTATCTTGGGTTGCAACGGGGTGTCCCTAGTCCTCCCTCAACGCCTCACCTTTCCTTCACACACAGCCCGGGCCCGCTTTCCTCCGCCGATCTTAAGCCACCCCTCAAAACCAGGCCCTCGCTTCCCTCTGATCCCTGAGGCGCAAATCAGTGGCATCACATCCGGGCACCCGGGGCTTCCCTGCGTTGACAGCAGGGGCAAAACCTGATTCTGTCGGGGTGGGGGTGGGGATGGGAATGGGAATGGAGGAGGGGTGGGGGCGAGGATGGGGGTGAAGATGGGGATGGGGATGGGGATCCTGAGGCTGTAGGTCGTGGCGGTGACGGTGGGCTTGGGGGTGAGGGAGGCCCTCAGTTGTTCCTCAGGGTCCTCACCTTGAAACCTGGCAGAACCTGGGCCCTGCCTTCTCCTAACCACCCCTGCCTTGGTCACACCAAGCTCTGACTCCAGAGTCCCCTGTGGCATAAGCGGCGGGGGTTGGCAGGGCGCCGGGGGGTGGCCCAGACTGAGAAGTACTCCCCTAGGTGGTCCAGGGCTGGCAGCAGGGGTGACGCTGAATTATTTGGGGTCCTCTATCTGGGGTGGAGGCGTCCTCAGTCCTCCCTCAGCCTCTCACCTTGTCTTCTCACAGAGCCTGGGTCCACTTCCCTCTGCCAATCTCAAGCCGCCCCTCAGACCGAGACCCTCGCTTCTCTGACCCCCTAGCCGTCACATCCGGCCACCAAGCCTGGGGCTTCCTTGGGTTGACTGCTGGTGTCATAGCGGATTCTGCTATGAGTGGGGGTGGAAATGGGGGTGGGGGTGGGGGGTCGAGGTCGAGGGGGTGGGCACTCTCAGTCATCCTCAAGGTCCTGACCTTGATGCCTGGCAGAGCCTGGATCCCATCCTGTGTGGATGGTGTCTGCTCCCCTCAGACCAAAGCACTGACTCCGAGTCCCCTGAGGTGGCAGTGGAGGGAGGGATATGGTCGGGGCGACAACATTGTCAGGGTCTTCCAGGGCTGACAGGAGGGGCTGAACTGGATTCTGTGGTCCCTCTATGTGGGGTGAGTGGACCCTCAATCCTTACTCAGGAGGGTTCTCCTCTTGGCTCCTGGCTCTTTGATGAAGTGATGGGTGGGGGATGCTCTGTTTCTGTCACCTCTGAGTATTCGCCCAGCTGTACCCCTTGCAGAGAATGGCTGCGGGTCCCAGGCCAGGTGCTCCCTGGGGAGCTGCAGTGCCTGCGATTGTAGTGGCCTCTGGGAGAAGACACACACCTTCCCACGGGGGCTCCTCCCCAGCCAGAAGTCGACTTGTCAAACCTTTTGTCCTAAAGCATTTATTTTTACACTGAAGAGGCTGAGCAGCAGCAAGAGAATTGAGGAGTCCTGCATTTGGAATTTTTGTGACATTTAATTGTACTGTTTAGTGACGTGCATATTTTAATCCGCATTCACACAGTAAGAAATAAATTTTACATTTCTGCTAATTGTATGTGTACATTATATGTCATATATGTAGACTATGCTTATGTTTAGATACATAAACATGTATGTATATAAGTTTGTTATATATGAATAATTTTATGTATTCACACTATATATCTTTACAGATATATATGTACATATATTACATATACTTATTTCATTAAACAATATCTACTCATACTATGTATGATTCACTCATGCTATTCCATTTCTAGTTCATTCTTTATATTCTATTTAAATTACATTTTTGGAAGGCCAGGCCTCACCTACTAAGTTGGTGTCAAGTGGGTATTAACAGAACTCTGGAGCCATCATGTCTCAATCACACCAAGATTCCTGGTGTCCTGATATTACCCCAGGGCTACTGGCATCACATTGTGAGATGCTGCCTCATATTAGGCAATAATATGGGGTGGGAGTTTAAAATAATTTTTCCTTCTACCCATTCTGTAGTGTGCTGTCAGCGCAGGCTACAGACCTCCCCAACTTCTCTGCCACTACCCCATGCCCCAAACACAAGTAGCAGTTCAATGCAGTCTTAGTCTCCCCAGGGATTTCTCTGTTTTGTGGTTTAGATTTTATTGCTAATCCTTTTTTTTTCTTTTTCCATTCTATACTTTTCCAGAATTGATTTTGGGAACAGAACACAGCAGCCTGAACTTGATTGTTATTTTGGCAGCTACAGGTAAGGCACTAGCTCTGTATATAATTTAAGCAGAATTGACATCCTTGCAGTATTCTGTTTTCCATCAATGAATTTATGACACTCCTCCATTTATTTGGAAAATTTTTTCCAGAATCTATCAGTAAACTTATACAGTTGCCTCCGTGAAGATCTTATATATTTTTGTGAGGCTTCTGTTTAATTTTGGATTTTATTGCTTTTTTGAATGCTATATTTTCTGTTTCATATGTTCTAAGTTGCTTTTGTGTGGCAAGCCTCTTGATTTTGCTGTAGTGAACTACTATTTGCTGGTTTCTGAAGCCTCTTATTTATTTGAATATTCCATGTGTCTTTTCCTTTGAATTTTCTTGATAGATAATCATATTCTCAACAAATATTATCTTTCTTTTCAATCTTCATACCTCTTTTTCATTTTGATATCCATAGCTCTGACTCTTTTGCATTTTTGCTACCCACTGCAGCTATGGACAGTAGCCATGACAGCATATGTCAACGACTTGTGTCTGACATGAATGTGAATGCTTCTTCTAAAAGTTCATATTTAAATATGGTTGCTGCCAATTTTAGGAAAGGGAAGTTCCTTTTCATCTTAGTTTGCTGAAAGTTGTCAATTTGAAATCACATAGTATTTCTTTCAGAGGCTTTTTCTGTACTCATCGAAATGACCAAATGTTTTTTCTACTCTATCTTGTATGTACAGAATTACAATTGAATTGTTTCTAATGTGAAATAATTCTTTTGGCTTGAAGGCAGAACAAGAAGGCCAAACAGAAGCCTCCACCAATTGTCCTCCCTGCAGGAAGATCAAATTGAACAACTATCCACACAAAGAAGCACTTTAATGAGAATGAAAAATCAGGTGAATGATCATAGTACCTGGTTCTAACTTCATACCACTGAAAGGGGCACTGAAGATGGTAGGAGAGACAGTCTTGAATTGCTAACACCATCCCTGCCCCATCTCCCAGTAGTTGCTGTGTGGCACGGAAAGAGAATCTGTGTGTTTAAGGGAGAGAGAGGGCAGTGATTGTGGGACTTTGCGTTGGAACTCACTACTGCCCTGTTACAGCAGAAAGCAACACCAGGCATAACTCAGCCGGTACCCACAGAGGGAGCATTTAGACCAGCCCTAACCAGTGGTCAGAACCTGAGTTCCACAAGCCTCACCACTGTGGACTAAAGTGGTCCGTGGTGCTAAATGAAAGGCAGTCTAGGCCACAAGGATTACAATTCTTGGGCAAGTCCTGGTGCTGGGCTAAGCTCAGAGCCAGTGGACTTAGGGGGCATGCACCCTAGTGAGATACCAACTGGGGTGGCCAAGCGGGTGCTCGTACCACCCCTCCCTCAACTGCAGGTAGTACAGCTTGCAGCTTGCCTGTAGTCTCAGCTACTCGGGATGCTGAGGCAGGAGAATGGCGTCAACCTGGGAGGCGGAGCTTGCAGTGAGCCGAGATCGTGCGACTGCACTCCAGCCTGAGCAACAGAGCGAGACTCCATCTCAAAAAAATAAAATAAAAAATAAAAATAAATAAATAAAGTAGTTGATCCATGGGTAGATATATACATACATACAAATACGTATATGTGTGTGTATGTATATATATGCACAGTAGAACCAGAACTGTTAACCCCCATCCTTGTGGGAAACAGACTTATCAACTAGACTGCAGTGCTTTTCACTATAGTGCTTCTTTCACTTAACGCTAAGCTCATGTGTTTCTGTTGCTTGATAGCTCATTTCTTTTTTTCACGAATAATGTTCTATTATTGTTGGACCACAGTTTGTTTATCCGTTCACCTACTGAAGAACATCCTGGTTGTTTCCAGTTTTTAGTAATTATGAAATAAGTTGCCATACACCCTTGTATGCAAGTTTTTTGTGTGGAAGCAAGTTTGCAAACTAGTTGGATGCATACCTAGGAATAGCAAGACTTGTGTTCAGCTTTGTTGAAAACAAACAAACAAACAAAAAACTGACAAACCATCTTTGAAAGTGGCTGTACCAGTTTGCATTCCCAGAAGCAATGAGTAAGAGTGTCTGTTGCTCCTTAGTGTTGCCAGCAAGTGGTATTGTTAGACATTCTAATAGCTGTGTATCTCATTGTTATTTAATTCACAATTCACTAACGAAGAATGATGTTGATGGTCTTGTCTTATGCTTATTTCCCATCTGTATATCTTCTTTGGCGATGTGTCTGTTCAGAGTTTCTGCCCATTGATTGAGTTTTTATAAATTTGTTTTCTTATTGTTCAGTTGTAAGCCTCCTTTGTAGATTTTGGATACAGATCTTCTATCCGATATATGTTTTGCAAACACTTGGTCATAGTCTGTGGCTTCTCTTTTCTTTTTCCTAACAATGTCTTTCAAAGAGCTTTCGAGGTTTCTTTTTTATTTTTAGAAAGTCTAACTTATCAATTTTGCCTTTCATAGACCACCCTTTTGATGTTGTATCTAAAAAATTTATCACCAAAACCCAGGTCATGTAGATCTTCCCCTATTTTCTTCAAGAAGTTTTATAATATTGCATTTTAAATTTGAGTCTATAATATACTTTGAGGTTATTTTTTGTGAAAGATATAAAGTTTTATCTAGGTTCATTTCTTTGCATATTGAGATCCATTTGTTCAGGTGCCCTTTGTTGAAAAGACTATCATTTCTCTATAGGATTATCTTTGCATCTTTGTCAAAAAATCAGTAAACTATATTTTTATGGATCTATTTCTATTTTGTTCCATTGATGTGTGTCCATTCTTTTGGCAATATCATACTTTGTAGATTGCTGTACCTTTACAGAACAAGTGGTGTACCGAAGCTGACATCAACCATGAGAAATCATATTTCTAATAGGTTCCTTTTACATGATGTGAAGAGAATGGCATTTTACCTCTGAGATCTTCCCCCTGGAAGTTCATACTCTCATTCTAATCATGACAGACGTATAAGACAAATCCCAGTAGAAGGGCTTTATGCACAATAGCTGACCAATGCTACTCGAAACTGTGAAGATCAAAGTCATCAAACGTAGGGAAAGTCTAAGACCTGCCACAGCTAAGAGGAGCCTATGGAGACATGACGAGTAAATGTGAAACGATGGTC
This sequence comes from Homo sapiens, assembly GCF_000001405.40. Lineage (NCBI taxonomy): Eukaryota > Metazoa > Chordata > Mammalia > Primates > Hominidae > Homo > Homo sapiens. Next base: position 409,049 of record NW_025791818.1, read on the forward strand.
CTACATGAAACTCTGGAACAGAAAAAAAAATGCATTAGGTAAAAACAAAGGAAATCTGAATAAAGTATGTGCTCTGGTTAATAGCAATGTGTTAATATAGGTTCAATAGTTGTAACAAATGTACCATACTAATGGAAAATGTTAATAATAGAGGAAACGGTGTAGAGCATAAGGCACTCAATACTAGGTTTTCTATTTTTCTCTAAGTCTAAAGCTACAGGTTGATTAACAATGAAAAACTGTTAGCAAACTACTTAAAGAGTATTTACCAAAAAACTACAGCAAACATCAAAAAGTTGAAAGTTACTTTTACTTTGAAATTGTAAAAGACAATGATTCTTGCTATCACCATTTCTATTCAATACTGTAATAGAGGTACTAGCCAGTGCAGTAATGCTAAGCAGATGAAATCAAAGGGCTAGAGATAAAAAATAAACAAAATTTGCCTAATTAACAGATGGTTTTTAGATTGTGTATAAAGAAAATTCAAAATAAGAGTAAATTATTCATTTAATAAAATATATATAAAAGTTGCAGGACAAATATCAATTTACAAAAAAATTAAGTTTCTGCAGTAACAGTATGAAAATGAGAATAAACAAAATATACCTTGTAAAATGAATCTAACCAAAGAAAGCCTAAGAACTTCATGGAAATTAAATTAATGAACTAATTAAGGCTTTAAATATAAAATAAATGGATGTGAGTATTCAATATTGTAGACATGTTAATTATTTCCAGAAGTAATGTACAGATGATTGCAATCCCAATTTAAAAATTAAAGTCTTTATGTGTGAATGTGTGTGCTTACATACATGTGTGTGTAAAATATTGCAAGATGACTCTGAAATTTAAATTGACATGTGATATAGTTTCTATATGTGTCCCCACCCAAATCTCATTTTGAATTGTAATCTCCATTGTTGGAGGTGGGGCCTGGTGGGAAGTGATTGGATCATGGGGCTGGATTTCTCATGAATGGTTTAGCGCCACCCCCTTGGTGCTGTTATCGTGATAGTGAGTGAGTTCTCGTGAGATCTGGTTGTTTAAAAGTGTGTGGCATCTCCCCTGCCTCTCTCTTATTCCTGCTCTGGCCATGTGACGTACCTGCTTCCGCTTCACCTTCTGCCATGATTGTTTCATGAGGCCTCCCCAGAAGCTGAGCAGATGCCAGCATCATGTTTCCTGTACAGCCTGCAGAACCGTGAGCCAATTAAGCTTCTTTTCTTTATAAATTATCCAGTCTCAAATATTTCTTTATAGCAATGTGAGAACAGATTAACACAACATGCAATAGGCTAAGCATGGCCAAGACATTCTTGAGATAAAAGAAGATAAAAGGAGTTCCTCCACCAGATAGTAAGAATGACTAGAAAGCTCTAGTGATAAAGAATTTGTAGTATGGGTACAAGGTGTAACAAATAGAACAATGGAGCTGAATAGAGATTCCTGAAACACACCCACTTAATACATGGACTTTTGATTTATATATTTAAAAAGAGCAGGAGAGATAGGGCAATAATAAAACTATAACTTTTAATAAATGACAGTGAAACAACTAAATATCCATGTAGAAAACAAAATGTAACAAGAACCCTCCTTGGAATTACACACAAAAATTAATTCCAGGAGGATTAAAGAACTACTTTTTAAAGGTTTCCTGTAACTTTTTTCAAATATACATAAAATACATGGAATGGTAAAAATGAGCCTTCATATGTTTCTATCATCTAGAGAGCAAGCAGTATGGGTCAAGGAGAGCATCGATAATGCTGGAGGGGAAAGGACTGAAAGAGGCTAGGGACATTGGTCAGTACCAGAAGGGTTGGAGATGATACAAGTCAAGGAGGAAGGGGGAAATGGCAGCTCCTTCTGCCCCTTGTCTCCAACACAGATGACCTTCCCACCCTCAGGGGTCTTCGTTTTCAAAGAGCTAGACCTGGTGGCTAGACAGGAGGAGGCTTAGGAGAAGGCTGCCTGGACCAGTGATTTGTTCATTCCATCTCTCACCACAGCCCCTGCTGATCTCTAGAGCCCTGGAGCTCAGAGAAGTGTGACCTGACAGTATGATTCCTGAGACTTCTGACAAGGCTTGTTGGGCTAACACCCTGACCAGGCCCAGGAGGTCTCTATCAACTTAGAGGCAGTGCCAGGTTGTCCACATGTGATGGGAGTAAAGTGCTACCTCCTCCTCATCTGGGTGAGAGCCATTGGTGGGAAGAGGGGTTTTGGGGCCTTGGCTTCTCTCCTTTTTTGCTCATTGCAAGGTGTCCTCCAGATCCTGTTCCTTGACAGAAAACCCTCGCTGTAGACCCCCACTAGTGGGACTTGGAGTACTTAATGGAGCAAGGAAGGGGGTCTCCCTCCTTCCTGAGATCAGAGGTACTCTAAGTGTGGAGAAGACAGGTATCATGGGATGAGCCTGAACTAATTACATAGTGGCCAGAGGGCCTCCAGGAATGAAGGGCTTTCCCCATCAGCACATGAACTACCACCGGTATGGGCAGGATTTTCCTAACAGTGTTTTTTAGAGAGTAGTTATTAATTTTAATAATGTCTAAGTTATCCATTTTTTCTTTCATGAGTCATGCTTTTGGTGTTGTGTCTAAGAAGTCACAGCTAAACCCAAGTTCACCTTGATTTTCTTCCATGGATGGGGAGCCACCAGTGATGCTGGTTGGAGGGCCTTTCCTCCAGCATGTGAACTACCACTAGTCTGGGGAGTTGGGTCATGGAAGAATCTTAATGAAGACTCTCCACCATCAAAATGGGATTTGGAGCTTCTGGTTGGAAATGCTTCAGGCTGACAAACAGCCTCTGAATGAGAATAGGGTCACCCAAAATGAGCCCCAGGGTGATGGACTAAGAGGGCCTTATAGGAGGAAGGGCGCCATCTTGATCATCTCATCTACCCATGATTAACACCCACCCAGATCAATGCCTGCCCCACCTCTGCTCCATGTACTTTCTTTTAGCTGCCCTCGCTCTTGACAGGGCCCTCAGCAGTATTCGGGAACCCTGAGATTCTAAAAGAGGTTGATTTGTGTTTTTGTGAACGAGTTCACTGAAGGTATGAGTCATCTCCAGATTTACTGTGCCCAGGCCAACTCAACTGTTGCGGAGTTTGCTTTCTTCCTCAGCTTTGGCTTCAGCGTCTCAGGTGCCGTTAGCCTATCTTGTAGCCAGAATGGGGTATATAACCTCAGAGGTGAAGGTGGAAAATCTTGGGCATTTCTTTTACAATGATTTATCTTTGCCTCCCAGTGTCAGATCCACAAGGCCAACTTTTCTCAGATCTTCACTGCGAGAATATGGTGGGGTTCCTGGAGATAAAGCCTGTAATGTTTGCCCCTTAAGACTGCAGCCCCAGGTAGTTTATCACTTACATTACCCCACACTCAGCTTTCAGAAAGTCATCAAAATCACCATTTAGATGTTCTTACCAGTTTATGGCTCCAGCAGCTTCTGCTACAGGTAAGCAGATCTTACCTGCTCCTCTTTGTGTGAACCAGTCGCTCCACATTTTCAGTCAGTGGTTTGCCCTGCAATCTCAGTTCTCTGATGGGTGTAAGAAAAAGTTTTCAGTTTGTCAAGCATTTTGTAAGAATGGGAGTGCCAACTTACAACTGTATATCCTTTTTACTGGTTGCTTTAGTTATTATATATACCTAGCTTATCTCACTCTACTGTTGTCAACATTTTACCAGTTCAAGTAAAGTGTAGAAACCTCACCTTCCTTCATATCCCTTTACCCTTCTCCATTTATGATGTGATTGTCTTAAGTATTTCTTATACATACATTTAAAGACATATTAGGCCATTCTATAATTTTTGCCTCGACTGTCAAACATAACTTAGAAAACTCAAAGAAGAAAGAAAGTCTATTGTATTTATCTACATTTTGTTTACCATGTTCTTTCTTCCTTCCCAATGTTCCAATTCCCCATTACCCTTTTTATCATTTCCTTTCTGTTTAGGGAACTTCCTCTAGCCATTCTTCTAGGGTAAATCTCCTGGTGACAAAGTCTATTAGTTTTCCTTAATTTGGGAATATCTTGATTTTCCCTTCATTCCTGAAAGATATTTTTGCTATATGTAGGGTTGTGTTGACTGTTCTTTTCTTTCAGCTCTTGAGAGATGTTGTGCTTCTTTCTTCTGGGCTTCATGGTTTCTGTTGCAAACCTCACTGTCATTTGAATTATTTTCCCTCTAAACTGAGATGTCATTTCTCTCTCGCTGCTTTCAAGATTTTTTTTTGTCTCTAATTTTCAGAAGTTTGACTATGACGTATCTTGACTTGGATTTATTCTCCTTGGATTCATTCAGCTTCTCGAATTTATAGGTTTATGAGTGTTGCTAAACTTGGAAAGCATTAAGCCATTATTTCTTTGAGTACCTCTTCAGCCCTATTCTCTTTCTCTTTTCTTTCTGGTATTCTAGTGACATGAATGTTCAATCTTTCGTTATGGTCCCTCAGGTCTCTGAGGCTCTGCTCATTTTTATTTGATGTATTTTTTCCCTGTTGTTCAGACTGAGAAATTTCTATTGTTCTATCTTTCAGTTCACTGATTGTTTCCTCCGTCATCTCCATTCTGCTTTTTAGCCCATCCATTAAGTTTTTCATTTCAGTTATTGCTTTTTTCAGTTCTAAAAACATCAATTGATTTTTCTTTATATGTGCTACTTCTTTGCTGAGATATTCTATTTTTTCCAATTGTTTCAGATGTGTTTATAATTGCATTTTGAAGCATTTTTATAATGGCTGATTTAAAATCTTTGTCAGATAATTCTCAATGTCCATCATCTTGGTGTTGATGTGTACTGACTGAGTTTTTATTCAGTTCAAGATCTTCCTGTTTCTGTTATGTGAATGGTTTTTGATTGAGCTATTGATATTTTGGTTGTTATGTCATATTATTCTGGATCTTATTTAAACCTTGTGTTTTAGCTGGCTTTCTCAGACATCACTCTAGCAAAAGAGATAGGGCACCACTTCATTACTGACATATGGAAATGGAAGATCAAGTTCCTCACTTGGCCTCCATTGACACCCAAGTGGGAGCCCACTCAATACTGCTGGGTTTAGGTGGGAGTTCTGGCCCCATACTAGGGCTCTACTGATACCTCCTTGTTTGGGAGGGGTGAGTGTTTCTCATTACTCTTCCCCATGTGGCCTCTGCTGACACCACAGGTTGTAGGGATGGTCTCATTGTTCCTGGACAGTGGTGAAAGTCCTCACTTTTTATGAGACCTCCTCTGATGACACCCCAGTCAGGAGAGGAAAGGGCGACTTTTATCTTTGAGTGGAAGTGCAAGTTCCCCACATGAGCTATATAAACAACATGCTGTGGGGAGGGAAATGCTTCATTACTACATGCTGGGAATAAAAGCTCAAGCTCTCTACTCAGTCACCTCTGACACCACTCCAGTGCTGGTGAGGGGGTACTTGGAGCCCTTGATATAGCCTAGTGAGGGTGGCAATCCAGGCTCCCCTCTTAGCCTTTGCTGGTGTGGATGTGAGTGGGGCCATAGATTTTTTGTATGTGTTGATATTTGGTGAGAGTAGAGCAGCTAGTGTCTAAAAGTTTTCTGTTTTGCTAGGTTACCCTTTTCCTGATTTTTTGGTTAGAGAGAGAAGGCTTTTGTTGAGGCTTCTCCCCTCAACTCCCTGTACCTGTTGGCTTATTTAGCTCCATTTCTGGGATATATAAGGCATAAAGAAAACACAGGGAACCTCAGCACTTTGGGAGGCCGAAGTGGGCAGATCACGAGGTCAGGAGTTTGAGACCAGCCTGGCCAACATGGTGAAACCCCGTCTCTACTAAAAATACAAAAATTAGCTGGGCGTGGTGGCGTGCGCCTGTAATCCCAGCTACTCGGGAGGCTGAGGCAGAAGAATTGCTCGAACCCTGGAGGGGGAGGTTGCAGTCAGCCAAGATCATGCCACTGCACTCCAACCTGGGTGACAGAGCGAGACTCCGTCTCAAAAAAAAAAAGAAAGAAAGAAAGAAAGAAAAGAAAACACAGGGAACTCACCGCTATGCTATGTTGTTCCTTGGATTCCAAGGTCCCTAGCCAGTCTCCTCTTTTCTCTACCATTCAGACCCATCTTACTGCTTGTTTTGTGTATAACATTCTGGGCATTTAGTTGTGCTTAGCAGGAGAAATAGGAGAGTACTCCATCTTCCCAGAAGTGGAAGTTGAATCCCTACAGATAATTTTAAAACAATAAAATTAATAAAAGCCAATCTTGATTTTTACCACCATACTCCAGTATGTCTATATAATTTCTGTGATAAAATGCTCTTCCCCCAATCTTTTATCCTTATTTTTTCAAAAGTTATTTTTCTCTTCAGGGAATTGTCAACCTAATTATATGGAGAGAGGCTCTTTAAAAGAAAATTTGGGAATAGAGCATTGCAGTGGGATTACACGTGCCACAGTAAATGATGTGTATTCAGAGAGGTAAAGGAAGACAAAGGTTTTAAAAGGAAAAAATGAGGAGACTTACATAATTCCTTTGAAATAATTATCCTTAGGCCAGTCGTGACAGTTCACACCTGTAATCCTAGTACTTTGGGAGGCCGAGGAGGGCAGATGGCCTGAGCTCAGGAGTTCGAGAACAGCCTGGCCAACATGGCAAAATCCCATCTCTACAAAAAATACAAAATATTAGCCAGATGTGGTGGTGCAGGCCTGTGGTCCCAGCTACTTGGAGGCTGAGGCGGGAGGATGGCTTGAGCCCAGGAGGCAGATGTTGTAGTGAGCTGAGATCGTGCCACTGCACTTCAACCTGGGTGACAGAATGAGAATCTGTCTCAAAAAAAAAAAAGAAGAAGGAAATAATTATCATTGACTACAAAGGTCAATAACAAGGGTGATGCCAGGCCAAGGTTGGACAAGCAGTTGCTAGGCGGATGCCCTCACAGAAGTATTTTTTGCACAAGGTGGTAATGGCCTTTGTACAAGGCTGTAGGTTTTGCAGACTCTTTTGTTATCAGGCATTCTTACATGATAACCCTTCCTTCATAACCTTTTGCAGCTGTATTTGTCAGTGGTTTTTTAACATTAGTGACTCCATTTTGATTCTGACAACTTTCACAGAATATAATTTCTAAAAATAGTTTTATTGAGATATACTTGATATATATAATTTGGCCCCAAACCCAGAATACCCACCTCCCTCCCTTCCCACACCAATGCCTCTTCCTTCCTCCCTCCCTCCCCACCATTTGAGAATATACAGACCCACACATCATTTTACAACAGTTCATTTTATTTTCATCACCCTGTGGGGCGCAAAATGTACTCTAGACCTTGTTGGCTATTTCTCCGGCGGGGGTGTGGGGGGCGGGTCAGACCTTTGGGGACTTCTCAGATAGATTTGAGTCTCTTGCCTTGCCCTGAAATTACAGGCTGCGCAGGGAAATGCTGGAGATGGTGGAGGTAGGTCTTCTGGCTTACTTGGTCCTGCTGTGGCTGATTTTTATTGAGTTCCTTATTCAGCTGGTTACAGTGGCTAGATAGTGTTGGCCCACTTCCTTCCTCAGGTTTGCTTGAAGCGGGGGTCTTTTAGGGAGAAGCTTTTTTCCTGGAACTCCCTCACAGGGTTCTTTTTCCCTTTCAGGTTGTCTTGGGAACCTGGAAGGACAGCAGGGAGATCACAGAAGGGAATTGGTTTTGGGGGAGAGGATGGAAGAGGGGTGGGAACAGAAGCTTCATGAGAAGGGGTGCAGGCTGGGGTGGGGGTTAGAGCCAGGACAGGACAGGGTAGGAGTCGGAGCTTGAGTGGGCCACTCACCTTGATAGGGCTTCTGGGCCTGGGTTGAGATGTTGGCAAGGATGTGAATGTAAAATGGTACAGTCACTCTGAAAAGGAGTTTAACAGTTTCTAATAAAACTAAATACGCAATTTGCATATGAACATAAAATTAGGCTATTGGCCATTAATTACGGATAAATAAAAACTGTCCACAATTAGCCAGACATGCAAGATAAGGGTTGCATCAAGGTTGAACACTGAAGACAAATCTCCTTAAGTTTTTATTTGTTGTAATAAATGGCCAATAGCCTAATTTTATGTTCATATGCTAATTGCATATTTAGTTTTATTAGAAACTGTTAAACTCCTTTTCAGAGTGACTGTACCATTTTACATTCACTATCAATATATGAGTGATGCAATTTCTCCACATCCTTGCCAACATTTGGTACCGTGACTATTTTTTATTGTAGCTGTTATGAGAGATTATAGTGATATTTCATTAAGGTTTTGATTTGCATTTCCCAATGGGCAATGATGTTGAACATCTTTTCATGTGCTTTTCTGCCATCTGTGGATTCTCCGCTTTTTTACAGTGTCTAGAGCTTCTAGTACTATGTTGAATAAGAGCGAAAAGATCTGAGAGCAATCATCCTTGCCTAATTTTACGCGGAAAGCATTCAGTCTTTCATCTGTAAGTAATGATGTTATCTGTAGGTTTTTTTTTTTTTGTACATGCTCCTTATCAACTTGCAGTAATTTCTGACTATTACTAATTTGCTGAGAGTTTTTAAATCATAAATGGATGTTGAATTCTGTCCAATTATTGTTTCTGTCTCAAATTTGCCTACTTGTGGTAAGTTGTTGAAATTTTTGGCACAAGCTTGTTCATAATATTCTCTCTCTTTTTTTTTTTTGAGACAGTCTTGCTCCGTCGCCCAGGCTGGAGTGCATGGGCGCGATCTCGGCTCACTGCAACCTCCACCTCCCTGGTTCAAGCAATTCCCCTGCCTCATCCTCCCGAGTGGGATTACAGGCACACGCCACCATGCACGGCTAAATTTTTTGTTATTTTGAGTAGAGACAGGTTTTCACCAAATTGGCCAGACTGGTCCCGAGCTCCTGATCTCAGGCAATCCGCCAGCCTCGGCTTCCCAAGGTGTTGGGATTACAGGCATGAGCTACCGTGCCGGGCCAACATTTTCATTATTTTTTAATGGCTCTAGGATCTGTGGTTATGTTACCTATCTCATTGCTGATATTGGTAATGTGTGTCTTCTCTCATTTTGTTCTGAGCTGTCTGTTTAGAAATTTACTGTTTTTATTTATCTTTTCAAGGAACAAGTTTTTAGTATAATTGCTTTCTTCACGGTTTTTCTGTTTATTACCCTATATTGACTTTAATTTGCTCTTCTTTTTCTAGTTTCATAAGGTTTTCTAATATAAGCACTTAGATGTCCTTCTAAGTACTACTTTAATTGCATGCCACAATTTTTGAGGTATTGCATTTTCTTTTTTTAACTTTTATTTTAAGTTTGAGGTACATGAGCAAGTTTGTTACATAGGTAAAGTTGCGTCATGGTGGTTTGTTGTACAGATTATTTCATCACCCAGATATTAAGCCTAGTACCCAATAGTTGTTTTTTCTGCTCCTCTCCCTCCTCCCACTCTCCAGCCTCTAATAGGCCCCAGGGTGTGTTGTTTCTCTCTAGTGTTCATGTGTTCTCATCATATAGCTCCCACTTATAAATGAGAACATGCAGTATTTGGTTTTCTGTTCCTGTGTTAGTTTGCTAGGATAATGGTCTTCAGCTCCATACATGTCCCTGCAAAGGACATGATCTGCTTCCTTTTATGGTTGCATAATATTCCATGGTGTATATATACCACATTTTCTTTATCCAGTTTCATTTTAATTCAGTTCCAAAAGTTTTTAAATTTCCCTTGAGACAAATTATCTTTGATGTGTGGATTATTTAGAAGTATAATTTTAAATTTCCAAATATTTTTTAATTTCCCAAATATAATTCTGTTGTTGACTTCTAACTTAATTCTGCTACTGAGCAAGAACATACCTTTATTACTTCAATCCTTTTTATTTACTTAGACTTATTTTATGGCCCAGGACATAGGCTATCTTGGTAAATGTTCTATGTGCACCTTTAAAAAATGTGACATGAGTATGTATATTGATGTTGTTGGATGGAATGTTGTGTAGATGTCGATTATGTTACGAACACAGATAATGCTGTTCAAGTCTTCCATATTTTTATTGATGTTTGTGCACTAGTTCTATCGATTATTGAAAGAAAGATATTGACATTTCTAAATACAGTTGTGGATTTGTCTATTTCTCCTATAAATAATTTTTTGCTTCATTTATTTTGAAGTTCTATTATTAGGTGCATACACATTTAGAATTAGTATGTCTTCTGGGTAGATTGGCTCCTTTGTCATTATGAAATATCTATTTTTAATCCCTGATAATATTCCTTGCTCTGAAATCTATTTCATCTGATGTTAGTATAGTTAATTCATGTTCTATCATTTAGCATTCTTTTATTTCTGATTTATCTGTTTCTTCATATTTAAAGTAGGGTTTTATAGAAAAATATAATTGAATCATTCTTTTTATCAAATATGACAATCTTTTCTTTTTAATTGGAGGGTATAACCTAATCAAAGATTATGTAATCTCCCTAGGAATAATCTACATCCAATGACTTGTAAGTGCAAGAGTATAAAGACTGGGCCCCTTTGACTCAATTTAAGACAACTCTGAAGGGACATGTCAGCCACAAGGATCCCCATGGGATAGGATGAAGTCTCCATCATGACTGGGCCACAGGTGAATGCTTTCTCTGCCACTTCTTCCTCCCTACTTCCTTCACTTCCTCACAGATGTTGTTCCTGAAAGTACTTTCCAATAATAAGTTCCTTCATACAGACCTCTTAATCTGACCAAACACAGGCAGTTTTAAAATGGTTAAGCACACACTAGCCCTTTCCCAGAAATTCTACTTCTAAGTATTTTTCTCAAAATAAATGAAGCCATAGGTCTACAGAAATATTTGTATAAGATGCTCATAGGAGGGTAATAACAGCCAAACATGAAAACAACCCAAATGTCTGTTAACAGGTTAACAGGTAGATGGTTTAAAAAATTGTGATATATCCATACAATGGAATCCAGCAATAAGAATGAATAAAATACTGATTCATGCAACACAATGAATGAATCTCAAAAACATTATGTTGAGGGAAAGAATCCTGACACAACAGAGTACATACTATATGATTTTAATTATATGCAAAATTAATTTATAATGATGGCAAACAGAATAGAGGGTGCCTTGGATGAGGAAAGATTAAATATAAAATGAAATGGAGAACTTTCTGAGGTCATGAAAAAGTTCTACATCTTAATTTTGGTGATGGATACATAAGTATTCACATTTGTCAAAACTCATATAACCATGGGCTCAAAATCTATGTCAGTAACTATTGAAAATTAAACCTGAATAAAAAGTTTAAAACTCAAGTGACACTAAACAATATTGTTAATAAATGTATTGCAAGGTAGTACAACAAAAGGAAAAAATAAGATGATTATTACAAAATTCTCCCTTTACCGTGGAGAAACTTGACCACAATTTACATAGGTGAGCTTCTGCATTGCTGATAATGTTCTATATCTAGACTTGTGTAGTGAATATATGAGTGCTGATTTCATAATCACTGCTAAACTGTATGTATTTGCAGGTTTTTTGTATATTTCACACTTAGAAAAATATTTAAATGAATATATTTAACTAAGGATTAGTACACAAAAAATATGTAAGAAACTCATATAACTAACAAGAAGATGACAAATAACCTGCTAGAAAAAAAATGGGAAAAATAAATAAACAGGAGTTTAACAGAAAAAGAAGCACAAATGTATCATAGACATTTTTATTTTATTTATCTTTTGTATAGGGATGGGGTCTCGCTGTGTTGCCCAGATGGGGCCTCAAATTCCTGGCCTCAAGCAGTCCTCCTGTCTCAGCCTCCCAAAGTGCTGGGACTACAGGCATAAACTACCACACCCAGCCAGTAAGTAATAGGCACTTTTAAACAGCTATATTGAGATATAATTTACATCTCATATACGCCATCCATTTAAACTGTATGACTCAATGGTTTTAGTCATGCATTTAATTACCTTTTCTTTTTAGTTGTCCATCACTGCTCATTCTTACTCTCTTCCTCTCTCTCTCTCTCTCTCTCTCTCACACACACACACACACACACACACACACACACCCCAGAATGTAGAATCCTTGAGGGCAGGGACTTTATCTTCTTCACTTGCTGTGTCCTAATATCTAGAATGGTGCCTCAGAATTGTAGGTCCTTAATAAATGTTTGTTAGTTGACTGGAATGAAGGCAGTGGAGATGGAGAAAACTGAATCGACGTGAGGAATAGGTAGGACCCGGCAATGGATAGGATGTGGGGACTGATGGAGAGGGATGTGTCATGATGACTTCCAGATTTCCGGTTTGGGCCATTCAGCAGTTGTTGATGTCAATAACAGAGCCATAGAACACTGGAGGCAGAACAGATTGGGAGATACAAATGACTGGAAGTAGAATGACATCTTGTAGTGAAAAGAACATGTATATAGAAAGTAGAAAAACTGAGTCATAGTCCTGAATTTCCTGTGTAACTCTGATCAGGCAACTGCCCACTTCTGGACCTGTTTTTCTTTTGTGAGTTGATTGGTTTGGACTGAAAAAACATTCTGGGTTTTTGCATCCAGATCTTGGTAAATAATTTAGGACATGTAGAATCTGTCCACAGAGGTATGTTTCACTGAGTCCATACCCCTCAATTGGCTTATAGCTATTATCACAAATCTGTCTGTGGCATCAAACCTTTGCCCAGAGATCTCTGAAATTTCTAGAGAGTGATGCACCTGGGCTGACAAACAAGTCGCTCATCTACACTTAGCCTGAAACACAAAGTATCCTTTGTCGTTTCTGCTCCCACTGTTCATTTCTAGGTCCAGGGAAGTCAGCTGAGGGCAGTTCCTCACCACTGCCACTGCCAGCAGTTCCCTGCACAGCAATGATGATGAGTTCACCAAAGACGTTTTACTGTGGAAGCTCCTAAAACTACTGGCCCAATCAGAAACCAGACCTTAAGATGCCAAAGGATTGCTCGGGGGCCTTATGTTATAGCATGATGAGATAGTGACTATAAAATGAACGTGCTAAACATATTTGAAGACATAAAACACAGAATTTTTAAAACACAATAAAATAGGCCGGGCACGGTGGCTCATGCCTGTAATCCCAGCACTTTGGGAGGTCGATGTGGGCGGATCACCTGAGGTCGGGAGTTTGAGACCAGTCTGACCAACATGGAGAAACGCCATCTCTACTAAAAATACAAAAATTAGCTGGGCATCATGGCACATGCCTGTAATCCCAGCTACTTGGGAGGCTGAGGCAGGAGAATCGCCTGAACCTGGGAGGCGGAGGTTGCAGTGAGCCAAGATCACGCTATTGCACTCCAGCCTGGGCAACAAGAGTAAAACTCCGTCTAAAAAATAAATAAATAAATAAATAAATAAATAAATAAATAAATAAAATAAGAGAACCTTCTAGGGACTCCCCACTTTCCTTGGAATAAAGTCCAGACCCCTTTCCATGGCCCATGGGGTCCTGCATGGTGGGGACATTGGCCTCCTGTCCAGCCTGGGCTCCTGCCACTCTCCCTGCTTAGCTAAAATCTGAAGCCCAAGGTTCCTTCACCCCCTCAAGCAAAACTCCTTTTTGCTGTGCTGGGGTCCCTGTGGATACTGCCTTTCTGCCCTTGAGCTTCTGTGGCCTGTGAGGCTCACCCTGTCCAGAGGCTCAAGCTTACCAAGCTCCCATGCCCTGTGATGATTCTATTGCGAGATTGTGGGGCAATTCCCTATCTGGCTTTGCTTCCCCACGTGGTTGGCTAAGAAGCCACTATGTCTGCGTGGGTCTCAGGCCAGCCTGTAGGACATGAGGAGCTGGAAAGCAGAAGGCTGGCAGGGCTGAGAGCTGAGAGCTGTTGGCAGATCCCCCAGGGCCTGCAGTGCAGCGTCTTGTAGCAGGCATCTTTCTCCAATAGCCCAGAAGGCAGTGTGGGAGTAGGGGTCATTTGTCCCAAATACTAGCTCACTGGTCCTCAGGTTGCAGAACCAAGCAGGGAGGCTATTGGTTCCCTGCTAGGCCACTGCTAGGATTCATGGGCAGCTTCTTTCCTGACAAGGCATTTTCAAGGCTGCTGCTCCTTTCCTCACCTCTTTTTACTTTTAATTGTGGTAAAATACACATCATATAAAATGTACCATCTTCATGATTTTTAAGTGTACAGTTCAGTGGTACATTAAGCACATTCACAGTGTTGTGCAACCATCACCACCATCCATCCACAGACTTGTCAAACTAAACCTCTGTCCCCATTAAACACTAACTCCCCATTCTCCCTCCCCCTACCCCCGGCACTGACCATTCTACTGTCTGTCACTATGGATTTGACCATTCTAGGGACCTTGTATCAGTGGAATCCTACACTAATTGTCCTTTTGTGAGTGGCTTACTTCACTGAGCGTAATGCTCTCTAGGGTCATCCATGCGTAGCATGTGTCAGAATGTCGTTCCTTTTTAAGACTGAATAATAGTCCATTGTATGGATGGACCACATTTGGCTTATCTATTCATCCATTGATGGAAATTTGTCTTGATCCACCAGCTGGATATTATGAATAATGCTGCTGTGAACATGAGTACACAAATATCTCTTCGATCTGCTTTCAGTTCTTTTGGATACATACCCAGAAACGAGATTGCTAGATCATATGGTAATTCTGTGTTGAATATTTCAAGGAACATCCATTCTATCTTCCACCATTTTACATTCCCACATATGGTGTATAAGGGTGCACAAGGGTTCCAATTTCTCCACATCCTCACCAACATTTGTTTTCTGTTTTTGTGATACTAGCCATCCCACTGAGTGTGAGGTGGTATCTCACAATAGTTTTGATTTGCATTTCCCTAACTGGTGATGTTGAACATCTTTTCATATACTTATTGGTCATTTGTATATCTTCTTTGAAGTATCATCTATTCAAGCCTTTTGCCCATTTTTAAATCTCGCTTGTTTCTTGTTGTTGTTTGGTTGTAAAAGTTCTTTATATATTCTTGATAGTAACCCCTTATCAGATGTGTGAATTGCAAATATTTTCTCCCATTCCATTGATTGCCTTTTAATATTGTTGATTGTTCCTTTGATGTGCAGAAGTTTTTAATTTTGATGTAGGCCAGCGTGGTGGGTCATGCCTATAATCCCAGCACTTTGGGAGGCCAAGCAAGGGAATCACTTCAGCCCAGGAGTTCAAGACCAGCCTGGACAACGTAGGGAGACCCTGTTTTTATTTTTAAAAGAATTTTTAAAAAGTTTTAGCCAGGAGTGTTGGCGCGTGCCAGTAGTCCCAACTACCCAGGAGGCTGAGGCAAGAGTACCACTTGAGCCTAGGAGTTCGAGGCTGCAGTAAGCCATGATTGCACCACTGCACTCCAGCCTACACAACAGAGTGAGATCCCGTTTCCAAAAAAAAAAAAAAAAAAAAAAAAAAAAAAAAGAAGTAGTCTCATTTGTCTATTTGTTCTTTTGTTGCCTGTATTTTTGTCATTGTATCCAAGAAAGCATTGCCACATCCAATGTCATGAAGCTTCTCCCCTCTGTTTTCTTCAGTTTACAGTTTTGGCACTTGTGTTTAGGTCTTTCATCCATTTGAGTTAATTTTAGTATATGATGTAAAGTGAGGGTCCAATTTCATTATTTTGCATGTGGATAACAAGTTGTCCCAACATCATTTGTTGAGATTCTCCTCAGCTCTTAAAGGAAGAGAGGACAAGGAGCATGGTGACTGAGGGTGACAAGACCTCCCTTTCTCTTGCTGAGCCACTCACTTGATCAAGGACCCTGAGCATGAATTTATTTATTCATTCACGCATTGGGCAATATCCAAACCCAGAGTTCACAACCTCCATAAAATTTAGGGAGTCCATGCAATTAGATCGTGAAAGAATACTTTTTTTTTAAATTTTTACTAACCTCTAGTTGAAATTACCATCATGGATAACGAATGCAGGCAATCAACCACAGGAAGATTAGCAGTACTTATAACAGTCACCGAGTGAAATCCCTGATATTTTCATATTACATTAACTGTGGCAGCAGCTCTTCAAATATGCTTTATACTTGTCACTACTTCCAAATTACAACAGTTATTAGACCTTTCCTCAATTCTATTATTTAACACATTAATGAAGATGCACATACATTTTATGGCATCACAATTGTGGCTTAGAAAAATATTTTGATAACTGTCTTTCAATAAAATAGCTTTCTTTGTATTCCTATCAATTTTATTTCATGCCTTCAAAAACATTATTCTGAGAAGGAACACACAGATTTCCCCAGACAACCAAGGAGAAGGTTCCCTGTGCTGGGCACTGAGGACACAGCAGCCCATGATAAAGACCTTGGTCACTGGCTTTGGAAAGATCCCAGCCACTGAGAGTGGGAGGGCACACAGATATATAGATACAACACAGTCTGGGGATTTCTGTCCCACAGGCAGCAGGTACTGTGGGACCCCAACGGACTATACAGTTCCAAATTGACTAGCCACTTCTTGGAGGTTTTTGTGTGAGGAAGGACTGTCTACTCATCAGCCTGGAGGAGTGGTCCTGTCCCTGGTGACCTGTTTACCCCTCTTTGTGCAGGTAATGAGATTCAGAGAAACCAGCTCTGCCCCCCCTGGCAGCAGCAGATCACCTCCCTTCCCCCGTCTTCTGCTGGCACCAGATATATTCAGCTGTGGGAGCAGAGATGCTTGGTGTGTTCTCGGTAGCTATGGAAATCCCAGGGTTTCCCTAGCAACAGCTCCAGATGGGTCTTGTTGCTAGGGAACGCTGGGATTTCCCAGGCTGCCAGATGAGCAAGACAGCTCTAGCCCCAGGGCAGAGGTGCTGGCAGAGATGTGGGTCTGACCCCTAGGGGATGGATGGTCCCCTTTGACTCTGATCCTTTGGGGCACCCAGCCCCATAGCCAAGCGAAAGGATGCTGTGCATTGAATGAGGAGATCTTGAGAGGGGGATGAAGAGGGAGTGCTCTGGGTAAGCAAACTGATTAGAAAAGTCCAAATGAGCCCAACGGATGCCAGGAAGAGGAAGACAGTAGACTTTGGGAAGCTTGCAACCTTCAAGTCCAGCACTTGGCTGTTTCTAAAGCACTTTTCCCAAGATTATCGCACAGTATACACCTGCTCGGTTTCAAGAGAAGGTCCAAGATTAGAACGAAGGCCAGTCTCAGGAGTGTGCAGCCTAAGCAGTCACACAGCGTCCCACACTTAGAAGGGCTCTGCACGCTTGAATTAATGCTCTACTGCCACTGACTTGAAATGCTTAATAATTTTTAAACAAGGGGCCCTGAATTTTTATTTTGCACTAGGCCCCACAAGTTTTATAGCCAGTCCTAGCTAAAACCTTTATTTTATAAGAGAGAAAGCTGACCCGTAGGGAGCAGATGTACTTAGTCTAAGTTCACGTGACTGAAAGTGCACCTCAGGGGCTAATGCATTTGCACTTAGCTGCTTTCAGGCACCAGCAACTAGACTGAAACAGGCCTTCAGTGTGGGAAGGCATTCCTGGGGTTCCCGTGGCAGAAAGGTAGGGGTAGCTGGAATCACAGCTCCCTCACTTGTTCTAAGGATCCAACTCAGAACTGGAGAAATCCAGGCTTTAGGGAGCTCTCAGGCTCGTAGGGAAGCAGACAGCATTAAGAAAATACAATTGGAATAGGAGCTGAGGAGGTGACAGCAGGACAACACCTGTTAGGGGCTATCTGGTGTCCCCCAAAATTCATATATTGAATTCCTAAGCCCTAGTACCTCAGAATGTGACTGTTTAGACATGGGGCCTTTAAATAGGTAATTAAGATAGAATGAGGCCGTTAGGGTGGTCCCTGATCCAATATGACTGGTGTCCATGTTAAAAAAGGAGATTCAGACACAGACTTGTGCAGAGGGAGAACCATGTGCGGACGCAGGGAGAAGTGGGCCATCTACAAGCCAAGGACAGAGGCCTCAGAATGAACCAACCCTGCCCACACCTTGGTCTCCAACTTCCAGCCTCCAGATCTGGGAGACGATGCATTTTTATGGTTTAAGCCTCCCAGTCTGTGATGCTTTGTCATGGTAGCTGGAGCAGACTAGTATAACATCCTTCATTCCTCCCACTCCTGTGAAATAAAGCCTATGACTCTTTCACAGAGAAAGGGCCCAAGACTTTAAGGGGTTAACTATCTTGCTCAGGGTCAAACCAGTAGGCAGCCATGCCAGGACTTGAACGCAGCTTGATCTGTCCCTAAGCCTGTGTTTTCCACTCCACCAGCCTAGGGGGAATTGCACCCCAATTCGCCCAATTCAGAAGGTCTGAATCCCTTTCCTAGGCATGCCCATCCCTCTGCTGCCCTGTGGGCTCAGGGACTTCCTGGCACAGATCTCCCAACCCCAGACTCAAAGCTTCCCTGTGGTTTGCATTCCTGCCCTAGACTAAGAGGACTGCCGTGGCTGGATCCTTTGACAGAAGGACTCTGGAGCCATATCAACATTTACCCTAACCCTAAGGACCAAACAAAAGAGTGAATATGACAAGCCTTTATAAGTGTCACACACCAGAGTTCCAGGTGCATGGGGTTCATGAACACCAGCACTAAGGGAACATTCTTCCTTTACTATTAAAGTAGCTACATCAGGAAATCACAGATTCTGTTGCCTTTATGTGGAGGAGCAATTCAGCTCTCTCTGTGACTCCCTCATTTCAACCCAGAGGCAGCCAGGTATCTTCCTAAACAAAGAGCTATCTACCCAGGGACAACCATGTTACTCGCCTGAAAAGCAAAAGCAACTGCAGATAGTTAAGGAGATTTTTCTTCTTTCTTCTTTTGTTAAAACAATTTTAGGTTAATGGTGCTTTATTGGGGTATAACATACATACAATAAATTACCCAGATATTGTGTCCAACTTAGTGAAAAATTTAACAAATGTACACTCCCATGGAACCATCATTCTTGTTGATATGGCAGTTGTATTTTTAAATAGAAATCCCACCTTCTTTAGCCAGGCGTGGTGACATGTGACAGTAGTTTGAGCTACTCAGGAGGCTGAGGTGGGAGGATTGCTTGAGCCCAGGAGTTTGAGGCTGCAGTGAGCTAAGGTCACGCCACTGCACTCCAGGCTGGGTGACAGAGCAAGACTCCCATCTTTATTTACAAAAAGAGAAAGAAAATCCCATCTCTCTGCTGCGAGGCTTCCGTGCCATGATGAAGAGAACAAGGGCTGGGGAAGCACAGAGAAGAGTACAAATCCAGCATGGAGGAATCCTGAAAGCATCCCCTCGAGCGTGTGACAGACAGGTAAGCTAGATCTTGTAAAGAGTCTGCTGAGAGGAGACAGGGAATAAAGGGACATTGTAGACATAAGGATAAGCAAAGGCTTAGGGGTTTCCAACAGCTTAGGAGAAAGAGTTCAGAGTAAATACAGCAGAAGATGGCTCATGGGGTGCCATCTGGGGTCAGGAACAGATATGATTATATAAAAATGAAACCAAGCTTGCTGTCTGATTTAGAAGCTATTTCTGCTACCAGAACAGTCAGTGCCTGTCTAACGTTCATGTCAGGTTTTATTGCTTGTGGTCAAAGGCTGTCGCACAGTACACGGAGCAAAGAGCAGAAACTGCATGATTTTTCAGAACAACGTCCAGAATAAATATGAATCTCTGCCTTAAATGGGACATTGCAGAGCAAGTTACATAAAGAATTATCAGTCTAATAGATCACAGCACTAGTTGATCAAAATACTTAACATCAGCTTAGCACGGACGTTTAAAGCAGTCAGCATCAAAGAGATACTTAAAGTTGTAAAACCTAAATGCATGTTTCCCCTCATTGTCCCCACGTCATTTTCTCCCTCTTTAAACGCTTGTCTTACTCTATTGCATAGAATTCATCTTTTTAAGCTGTTTTAAATCCTTTCTGGAAAAATGAAAGTATACAATATACACAGATTACCACATACATAGGTGCATGCCTGTCTGTCTCAGAAACGGCCTATCATTTCACATCAATTTTTAATACCACCCCTACCATAAACCAGATTGCCATATGCACATAAGCCTGTTTCAAGACTATTTCTTCTGTTCCAATAGTCCATTTATTCGTTCCTGGTAGTATACCACACTCTTACTTACTGTATTTTCTTTCATCTAAACAATCAAACATTCTCAAGTCTTTCCCATTAAAAAAAGAAAATTCTCCCACTGCCACCCCCACATGGCCACTAGCTACCATGCTAACTCTCTTTCCACCCTTTTACGGTCACATTTCTCAAAACGTCTGCATGTGGCCCTCTGTTTCCTCAGCCACTTTTCAATCCTAAGCCACGGCAATCTTATTTCTACTCCCACCACACCACACAAACTGCTCTTGCTAAGGTCAATGAGCTTATGTTGCTAAATCCAGAGGGCAAACTCCAGCCTTCACTAGCTTCACCCAGGTGACCACTTCCTCTCCCTTTGCTTCTGTGCCCTTCCATCCTCTTGGGTTTCCTGCAGTTGCTTTCCTTATTTTCCATCCCCCTTCTTGGCCTCTCCTCCTCTTCCCACTTCTTAAACACGGAAGCTCCTAGGATTTCGGGGCTGGGTTACATTCTCTTAACAGGCTCACCACAGTTTACCTAGGAGCACTCCCCCTCATCTATGGCTTCCAACATTACCTGCAACATGGACCATGCTGCATGTTCACCAAACACGGTTTCCTTTTCCTGCTTTACATGCAGTTAGACCACATTTCCTGGAATCCCTTTTGATTATGTGCCACTAGCTTCTGACCAATGGGATGTGGGAAGAAGAGATGTTTAACACTTGCAGGTCTGGCCACTCAAACCTCACACGTGATCTTCCATGTTCTCTCTTTTCATTCATCTGCCAGCCCGGTGCCAAAAAAAAAAAAAAATGCCAGTGGAGATCTCTGAGTGCCTAGGGGCCCCTGGAACTACTGGACAAGAGGAAGCTGGATGTCTAATACCCTGAATAAAACAGAGCCCGGCCTCCACCCCAACCCACCCCCACTGACTTTGAACATGAGTGAAAAATAATCCTTTATTGAGTCAGCTCACTGAAATACAGAAATTGTTTGATGAAGCAATTAACCTGGCCCAACTAATACACTATCTCTATGCTAATGACAACCAAATATTTGCATTATGGGCCTGTTCTTCTAATTATGCATCAAATGATTGACAATGCAGCCCAAACTGATGGGACAGATAGTTTTTTTTTAATAGATTACTAGGAAGTCACAGATATTCATGCATACATTCATTCATTCAATAAATGTTTATCGAGTGCCTACAGGCACCAGATACCGTGCTAGAAACTAAGGTTGCAATGATGAGCAAAGATAAAACCAGTCCATTCACTCACAAAGTTTACTGTGAGCCTGATGACAGCTGATTCTCATGTCTCATTATATTCCAGCTGCGAGAAACTTCTGTAGCATTTGCTGCTTCATGCAAGCCCGCTACCCATAAAACTGAGGCTTCCCCTCTCTAGATCCTGGAATCCACTGTTCTCTCCTCTATGAAAGGGTGCAACTGGATATAATAGTATAACACCCCTTTCTCTTAAGTATTTTGTCAGTTTTTTATTGTAGTAAAATATATATAACACAATCTTTTTCAATGTAACAATTTGTTGCTAATTCAGTGGCATTAAATATATTTACAATGTTGTGTAACTTTTACCACTATCTATACCCCAAAATTGTCACTATCAACAAAAACTCCATGCCCATTCAACAGTAACTCCTCTTTCCCCTTCACCTGAGCCTCCAGTGACCTCTATTCTACTTTCTGTCTCTAAAATTGGCCTATTCTAGGTACCTCATATAAGTGGAATCATATAATATTTGTCCTCTGTGTCTGGTTTTTATCAGGAAGCGTAGTTTTTAATAGTACATCCACGTTATAGCATGTATGAGAGTTTCATCCCTTTTCGTGGCTCAATAATATTCCATTGTATGGCTAGACCATATCTTGTTTATCCACTCATCTGTTGGGATGCACTTGGGTTTCTACTTTTGGCTATAATGAATAATGTTGCTATGAACATTGGTGTATAAATATCTTTTCAAGTCCCTGTTTTCAATTCTTTTGCATCTATATCTTGAAGTGTGATTGCTAGGTCATATCATAATTCTATGCTTAACCGTCTGAGGAACTGCCACACTGTTTCCCAAGGTGGCTGCACCATTTTACATTCCCATCAGCAATAAATCCAGGTTCCAGTTATTCCACATACTTGCCAACACTTGTTATTTTCCTTATTTTTTTATTATAGCCGTCCTAGCGTGTCCTAGCATGTGTGAAGCTGTATCTAAGAACAGTTTTAAGTATAAATGTTATATATGAATACAATTTTGTTCTGACAAATTCAAACCCAGAATAGAATTTAAAAATCCACTTCACTGTAGCCACGTCCAACCTCCTTCCCCTCTCCAGAGAAAATCACTGTTAAAAATTTGGTATGCATCTTTCCTGATCTTGTTCTCTGCATTTGTGTTCTTTTTTTTTCATATATGGATTTTTTTTTATGGCAGAATTTTTATATATTTATAAATCAGTTGGGAAAAGGTAAACTATTCAATAAGTGATGCTGGAACAAATGAGTCTCCATATGGGTTCAGAAGGAAAATTTTGCCACCCACCAAAAAATTAAGATGAAATAGACACGAAACATGGAAAACAAAACTATAAAACTTACAGAAGAAAACACAGGAAAATATCTTCATTATACGTGGGCAAACACAGATTTCTTTTTTTTTAAATTTTATTTTTCCATAAGTTATTGGGGTGCAGGTGGTATTTGGTTACATGAGTAAGTTCTTTAGTGGAGATTTGTGAGAACCTGGTGGACCCATCACCCAAGCAGTATACGCTGCACCATATTTGTTGTCTTTTATCCCTTGACCCCCCTCCCACTCATCCCCCCAAGTCCCCAAAGTCCATTGTATCATTCTGCTTTTTGTTTTGTGTTGTTTTGCATTTGTATTCTTATGTGTGCGTGAATGCAAGATTATGCGTAATGGAAACATAGCCATTCTGTCACTGTCAGTTTTCTTCCTTCTTTCCAACTGTTCCACTGTTGTTGTTGTTTTTTTCTGTTAGAGAAGTTCCACTTCGAAAATTTTGCCCTTTAGCTTGTACTGCTGGTTATAACGTGGTCTTTGATTTCCAGGAAGAGTATGCTGTGTTGGCTGAAGTCACTAGCAGAAGAACTTTGGTGTCTGCCTCATGTAGAATGCATTGCCTAGGTCGTCTCAGGCCTGATCTGAGCTGAACTTCTCCTATCACATATGCCAACAACTCTTTATGCTTCTCTCTTTCTCTGAAATTACCTTCTTTTGTCTGGAAAAAAAAGGAATGAGGAAGATTTTTCACCCCTTCAGAGAAAACAACTATCCAACAGGACGAACGTGGGAAACAGCCAGTGTTTGGTGAGAGATCGCCCTCTGCTGCCTGTGTTAATCAGGGTTCTCCAGAGCAGCAGCCAATAGGAAAGATAGATACATTTGTAAGGAGTAACATAATACATATAAATATACATATTTAAACATATATATTTAGATTATAAATATAAATCTATGTCTATATTATATATAAATATATACAAGTTGGTTATAAGGAACTGACTAACACTGTTATGGAGGCTGGCAAGTTTCCAGATCTGCAGGGTGAGTTGGCAAGCTGGAGATCCAGGAGAGCTGATAATGTAGTTCCAGTCAGAGTTCGAAGGCCTGAGACCCAGGAGAGCTGATGACATAGTTCCAGTCCAAAGCCCAGCAGGCTCAAGACTCAAGAGAAGCCGATGCTGCAGTTTGAGTCCAAAGGCAGGAAAAAGCCAATGTCCCAGTTTGAAGGCCTTCAAGCAGGAGGGATTCTCTCTTACTTGGGGGAGAGTTGGCCTTTTTTTTCTATTCAGGCCTTTAACTACCTGGATGAGGCCCACCCACATAATGGGTGGCAATCTTTACCCAGTCTCCTAACTCAAATGCTAATCTCATCCAGAAACACCCTCACAGACACACCGGGAATGACGTCTGACCAAATGTCTGGGCACTCCGTGGCCCAGTCCAGTTGACACATAAAATTAACCATCACACTAGCCATATGGGCCTTTTAGGGAGCCTGAACCCATAGCAGGAAGCTCTGGTGCCTTGAGCAATTGTCCGGATGGGCATTATAGGCAGTTAAAATTCTAAGCAAGAAAGATTAAGAAAAAAACAAAAGCGTGTAGGCCAAACTGGAGAGAAAGAGAGTGCAGTGGCAATGCTATTCGGGTTTCTTTCCTGCTCAGAACCCCGTGATGACTCCTCATCCCCCATAGAACATACCCTTACCTTATGGGGTTTGTGAGGCCTGACTCACTGCCTGCCTCCTGCTGCCACCACACATGCTTCTTCACTGTTCCTCACTTGTGCCAAGCCTGTTGCTGTTTCAGGGCCTTTGCACTTGCTGTTCCATCTGCCTGGGCACTCTTTCCCAGATCCTTACAGGGCTTCATGGCAAGGCCTTCCCTGACCACCCTCCCCAAAATAGCACCCCCTCCATCCATTTCCGCCTCCTTACCCCCCTTTATTTGTTTGAGCTTGTTTCCTGTCTTCTTCACTAAAATGTAAATTCCACGAGGCCAGGGACTTTATTTTTTTTCTCTGCAAGGCCTGGATCGGAATAGGTGCTAAGTATTTGCTGAGTGAGTGGATAAATGAATAAATGAATAAATGCAAAAGATAGAAGGAGGGGACAGATCTAGTGATGGATAAAAAGCACATACGAAATGGTGTGGATCCTAACGAATAATTAATCTGGGGAAAGCTAAAGCTGAAAATGAATTGAGGCTTTAAGAAAATGCTGAAGACAGATAAGTAAAATGCCTTTTAGTCAGTGTAAGGAAGTGTGAGAGCAATTTCTTGGAAGAAAATAAATCCTCTTTTGTTGGCATTTTTCCTTCCAGAAGATTGATCTTCAAGCTAAAGAAAAGTTGGAGGAGAGGGAGGAGAGAGAGCGGGAAATCCAGACAGCTGGTGAAGTTGCTAGATCCCAGAGGCTCCAAGGAGCGATTGATTGCAGGGGATGTCTAGATAGTGACAGAGAAAGCGTCATAGAGATCCCCAGGCCCCAGAGCAGCAAGGAAGCAGCAGCCTCATGCCCTCAGGCATGGCATAAAAATAATGCTAGAGCTGCCTCACTGAAAAAAATCCCGAAGGGCCAGGAAGCAGGCTGAACTCAGCCAATGTCTGTATGGACAGAGGATCTCTAAACCAGCCCCCACCCCCCCACACACACACACACACACACACACACACACACACACACACACACACACACACACACACAGAGCTATGGCACAATGCTATGGGTTTGCATATTTTTCTCCATGCCCCCCAGAATGATGTCCAAATCTAGAGCAGTGGGTGTGAATCTTGGCTCGTGAACTCTTTGAACAAATCTGATGAAAATTGCCACATGTGCATTATTTCAGGGAATTTAAGGAAATTTCAGGAATTCTCCTCCAGGCGATTCATGGACACCTGAAATCCAAGTGCCCCAGGTTAGAAACTCCTGTTCTAAGGGTATATTCCTCAATTGCAGCACTTGGATTAATGATGTAACTCCTTAACCCTAGAGTTGAAGATTGCAGCCAAATTCTTAGTGTATTCATTCAACAAATATGTATTGATTGACTGTCATGTAGCTTATTTAATCCTCACAACTGCCCTTGAAGTAGATTATATTAATACCACCCTCACTCTTGACAGATGAAACAAACGAGGTACTGGGGCTTTGGGTAACTTGCTACAGGTCACTCATTTTGCACTAGTCACTAGTAGGAGCAGAGCCAGTGGTGGAACCCCAGAAATTCAGCTTTAGAGACATTTTACTGCTACCCCACGATGCCTCTTACGAGGTTGGCATCTGTCTTTCAGATAGCCCCGTTCACCCTGAAAACATGTCTCTTAGACTACATATAGTAGGTTAGACATGAAAATCCCACCACCAACGACATCCGGAGGCTCTGTCACCCTGCCTCTGCTTATTCATCGTTCCCATGGTTTGCTGACTCAGTTTTAATCATTGGTTTACCTTCTGGATCTATTTGTATGAGGGATTGCACAAATATTTCCCCACATCCAACATCTCGCAAGGAGATGGACTCACGTGCATGTTCAAGTTCAGTCTCCAAGTTGAGAAGAAAGCTTTCTGGTAGCAATGCTGCACACACCCAGGGGCTCATGGATCTCTCAGGAGAGGCCACATCCAGTGTCCATGAAGTCATGAGTTCTGCAGCATAGATTCCAAGTTCAGCTTTTGTTTCATCAACATTACTGTGTGCACTTCTGGTTGAGACACTTAGGGGAACAGAGAAAGTTCTTCAGTAAAAGAGAGGATGTATGAGCTTCCTGTGGCTTCTGTAACAAAGTACCCATGGACTGAGGAGTTAAACAACACAACTACATGGTCTTGCAGTTCTGGAGGCTGGAAGTCAAAGATCAAGATGTCAGCAGGGTGAGCTCCTTCTGAGGGCTGTGAAGAAAGGATGTGTTCCAGGCCTCTCTCCTTGGCATGAAGATGACTGTCTTTGCCCTGTGTCCCTTCACATCATCTTCCCTCTACACGTGTCTGTGTCTCTGTCCAAATTTCTCCTTTTATAAGGAAATAAATACTGTAAATATATATATATTTTGCACTATAATACTGGAAATATTTATATATTCCTAGTGTTTATTTATATATGTATATTCCCAGTATTCATATATGTATATATTTCCAGTATTTATTTATATATTTATTTGATATAAGGAAATACTGGTTGTATTGGATTAAGGCCTACTGTTGTAAACTCACTCTAACTTGATTACCTCCACAAATACCCTACCCCCAAATAAGTTCACCTTCTGACGTCCTAGCAGTTAAGACACCAACATATGAATTTTAGAGGTCACAATTCAACTCATAACAAGGGATAATGGTCAGGAAGAAAAAGAGCCACAGAATGCTAGACATTTTTAATGAGTTAATAAATCCTTGCTATAGGATCAACAAACTTAGTAAGTTAATAAACCTGATGATGGATGGATGGAGCATTGTACCAGGCACAAAGCCCGGCTATGATGACATCAAAGGCACCCTGCTCTCTTCTGTTGAGAAGTGTTCAAAGTAGTTAGGGAGTCTCAATGAGCCCATGTAGCAGGTAAGCAATCTTGATCGCTCACACTCAAAAATGCAAATGTATCATTTTGTTCACTTATAGCTAGACTTAATAGGGTATCCATTCAAATGACCTGTCATTCCATCAGTGCCCACACCTGGTGACTTTTTCCAAGGGGTCCACAGCCCCACCAGGATTCTCCCCACTGTGGCATTATCTCCATCACACCCCAAGGCTAGATGAGACCACAGCCCTCCAAGGCTAAATGAGACCACAGCCCTCTTGGGGCACTAGGAAGATCCAGCTTAAACCACTGCTGAATTCAAGGTAATTTAGTGGCACTGCCTCAGAACCTCTCTGTCCTGGCACCCCACCTAGTGGCAAGGGACATATCTGCAAGACTGCTGTCTTCCAGAATTCCAGCTGGGACGCAGTCCTCTATTTGAAAACAAGTTTTCTGGAAGGAGGGAGCTCTGAGGAGGAGTTTCACAAGGAGAAGAACACAGATTTGGGATAAGATGGGGGGACAATATTTCAGTAGGGACAATGACAGAGACATGAGTACATATATATATAGCAACTAACTTTATATGAAGGGAAACACACATAGACATGTATTAAGGACACGGTGTCCAAGTCAGAGGGAAAAAGAAAAACAGGCTAATTAATGAGCAGCCATCATCTGTGGCAAAGAGGCATCAGGCTCTACGCTAGCCTTTGTTTGCTGTCTTTGACCTCTCTGCACCTTTGTTTTCTAGATGAGCAAACTGAGGCTTGAGGGGGTTGAATCCTTTCCCCCAAAACCACAGCTGCTGGGTTGAAGAGTTGGGATTTTAACCAGGGGCGGCTGAATCAAAAGGCTAGGTCTCTTCCCTGAGCAAAATAATGGCATGACAAAGACAGTACTGCAGATTGTCTTGGGAAAAGACAGGACAGGGAAATCAGCTAGGAGGACATTTCAGCAATCTGAATTTGAGTTGAGGTGGTGGCTTCAGAAATGAAAAAGAAAGGGGTGGATGAGTGTGAATACTGTAGGGAAAGTCTGGGTGACATATAAGGCAAAGACAAAAAAGAAAATGAAAATGACATCAATCCTCTAAACCACTGCATCAGAAAGATAAAGGCAAACGGTGGTGGTTAAGGAGAGGCTTGGAAGACCAGATGACTGGGAGGCTGCAGGGAAAAGCTAGAAATGAGGGTAACTTTAGCTCCAGATACAGCAAGTGCTGATGGCGATGTTCTTTGAAATGGGTCCACAAACCCACATAAGAATTTGGAGGGCTACTGACAGAGATTTGGGTCAGCAAATGGGTCCGATATGTCCGAGCATGGCACACAAGGATGATGTCTCAGCTTCACAGCTGCAGCTGATGCAGAGGCACTATTTTTGCTACAACTGAAGATGTGGCCATTCCAGCGGCTTCCAGCATGTAGGACGATGAACTAAGCAGGTCATGAGACATGGAGTGGAGAAAGGAGCAACCTGCTGTAAGATACTTCTCACTAATGGTGATGGAGGAGCTAGCTCAAAAAGGGGTAGCTTCTGCACTGTGCAGGAACTTGACACCATCTGGACAGCAAGCCGGTCCAGTCCAACTGAAGGGTGACTAAGTGTATAGTGGGCTGCCTACTGGCCTAGAGTAGTGACTAAGTTGCAATTCTCGTTAAACTGTTGTTTTGAGTGTATTACTTCCTTCTAGCATATTGTCAAAATTCTAGTATTCAAAGGTGTGACAAAAACATAAAATAAAGTTGAGCAGCCCTGGAATACAGTTATCCTTGACAGCAGGAGTCCCTCAAGGGAAGAGCTGCTCTAAGATCAAGTTTTGAGGTTGGCCCAATGACAGTCAGACATCCTGGCACTTGAGGTTGCATTTGAAAGGTCAGCATTCTCAAAAGCCAGATTGAACTTTAAGGAAATTTCCCCCAGTGGATGGTAGGGAGCCACGTGGTCCCTGAGACACCTGGGTCTAACCTCACAGTCTAACTCCTAGGCTTCCTAAAGAGGTGGTTAAACAAGAAAAGTGGTAAAAAATGTGTTCTTTCTTCTCTTCCCGGTCATCATAGAACTTAAAAAAATCTCAGTCCCAGCAGCTGTTCCATGTCTTACAGAGACAGAAACTGAACCACCTCCTTTCTTAAATCATTTCGTTATATCAGGCTTGAGCATGTCTACCAACAAATTCTGCTGTTCACAGTAGTTCTAACACTTGGAAGCAAAGAAAAGACGAATCTGCTGGACAGGTTTTTCAAGGAAATTTAGCACAACCCTAAGTTATTAAGGAGGCCCACAAGACCAAACACAAACTGACTATTCTCCCTCTCCGTCCCCCTACCCTTCCTCCCCTCCGGCTCTCTGGTCCATCCTCAGGGAACTGGCCTGCATTCCCTAGCCCTCTCCACCATCCCGCCAGATCTCTCTAGTCCAACCCCATATCAACTGACCTCTGCTCTCTCTCCATCCCCATCCCCTTATCCCCCCCATCCCCCTCTACCTCTCTGGTCCAGCCCCACATGAACTAACTCTGGGCTCAATCTCCTTCCCAGTACCCAGTCCATTGTGAGATGACCTCTCTTGCTCCCTATGTCTCTAAGCCTTTGCACCTGTTTGCTCCATCTTTGCATGAACTAATCTCTGCTCCCTCTACTTTTCCATCCCCCTCAACTCCTCTGGCATCCCTCTGGTCCAGCCCCACATGAAGGAACCCCTGCTCCCTCTTCCTCCCCTTTTTCTCCAACTCTGATTGAACTTTTTAGTTCAACCTCACATGAAGCAATCTCTGACCTCTCTAGTTCAAAATTCCACCCCCACCCTCCTGCAGCTCTCCAGTCCAACCCCGCATGAACTGCTCTCTGCTCTCTCCTGTGCCCTGTCTCCCCCCATTGCACTACTGCCCTCTGCCGCAGCTGCACATGAATGAATCTTTGCCCTCTCTCCAGCCCAATCCCTACACGCAACCGACATTTCTTTGGTCCAGCCCCACATGAACTGCCCTCTGCTTTCTCTCCTGCCCCTTCCCCACCACCTCCCTACATTGGTCCGTCCCACGCTGCATGAACTGACCTCAGTCCCTTTACTTCTGATCTTCTCCCACTCCCCAGTGTCCTTCTGGTCCAGTCCCACATGAACTGACCTCTGTTACCTCTCCATTCCAAACCCACCCCACTCCTCCATCTCTCTGGTCCACCCGCAAGGGCTGACCCCTGCTACCTCTGTCTCCCTGCCTGTCCCCTGCAGCTCTGAAATGACCGGTATTTGAACCCACTCACCCTGCCTCTCCCTCCCTAACAACAAAATGGGAGGCAGGGCCCAGTCTTTTCACTCCTCTCCAATAGTATATGTCTTTATGCAATCATATGCCACCTTCACACCCCTTAGAACTTACCCAGTCACTCTCCCTACATCTCTCTGGTCCAGCCCTCCATGACATGAACTCAGCTCCATCTCCTTTCCTTCCCCTTCCCCACCATACATCTCTGGTCCAGCCACACGTGAACTAAGCTCCGTTCCCTCTCCTTTCCCTTGCCCCACACTCCGGCTACCTCTGCAGATACAGCCACACATAAGCTGTCCTCAGTGGCTTTTCCTTTCCCTCTCTGACGCTCTGCATCTCTCCAGTGCAGCTGCACAGGAGCTGGCCTCGAATGCCTCTCCCATGCCATCCCATTCAGCCTTCTGCATCTCTTGGTACAGCCTACATGAACTGACATCTGCTCCCTCTAAGTGTGCATCGCCACTTCATCCCCCTCCAGCTTCCTGGGCCAGCCCCACATGAACTGTCATTTCCCCTCACTCCCTCACAACTCTATTGTCCACATGAATAAGCCACTAACTCTACAAACCCACCCACTGACACTCCCATGAAAACTCAGCTGCATCCTCACATGAACTGATCCCTGCTCCCTCTCACTCCCTTCCCCCTACCCCTGCTCCCCTGCACCTCTCCGGGACACCCCATGCACGGATCTTTTCTACTTCTCTGTCCCTATCCTCTGCAATTTCCCTTCATCTCTTGGTCCAGCCCCACGTGAACTGACCTCAGTTACTTCTCCATCCACATCCTCCCCCGCCTTCAGGACTCTTTTCTGCCTCCACATGAACTGAGCCCAGCTCCCTCTCCTTCCCCATCTTCCTGATCCCTTTACAGCTCTCTGGTCCAGCCCCACTGACTCATGCTCCCTCTCCGTCCCCATCTTCCTGATCCCTTTACAGCTCTCCGGTCCAGCCCCACTGACTCATGCTCCCTCTCTGTCCCCATCCTTCCACTGAATAACTGCACACCTATGTTAGAATGGCTGCCAGGCAAAGACCTTATGTTTGCTTTTATCCTCAGGGATAACCTATTACTTGCCACTCTCCGTCCTGTCTCAAGAGATTCCTGAGAGATTTCATTTATGGGAATATTAAGCAGGAGGAGATAAGAATGTCTCCAGGATAGTCCATTAGCTTAATTTAGCCATTCAACAATGTATACATCTTTCAAAACATCATATTGTACACCATAAATATATACAATGTTGTCAATTTCAAAACTTCTTTTTAATTAACTTTTTTTTCCTTATCCCTGAAACTGTTTTTTTTTTTTTAAGTTAAGTTCCGGGATACATGTGCAGGACGTGCTGGTTGCATAGGTAAACGTGTGCCACGGTGGTTTGCTGCACCTATCAACCCATCACCTAGGTGTTAAGCCCCACATGCATTAGCTATTTATCCTGATGTTCTCCCTCCCCCCACACCCCCACCCCCACTGCCACCGACAGGCCCCTATGTATATTGTCCCCTTCCCTGTAACTACGTGTTCTCTCTGTTCAGCTCCCACTCACGAGTGAGAACAAGTGGTGTTTGGTTTCCTGTTCCTGGGTTAGTTTGCTGAGGATAATGGCTTCCAGCTCCATCCATGTCCCTGCAAAGGACATGATCTCGTTTAATTAACTTTTTTTCAAAAGAGTGTTTCCAGGGTTACAGTTAACAGTAAAATTGGAGGCAGGGCCCAGTCTTTTCACTCCTTTCCAATATTATGTCTTTTATCCAATCATATGCCTCTTATTAGAAAATCACAATACAACAAAGGTCAAATCCTCCTAGGAAATGCTATCAACACACTTTGGGGACAGTAATGATAAAAGCTTCATGGACCCACATTTAACAACAAAGCTTATGTGATAACTGTAGCAAAAGAATGGGAGTAAGACTGAACACTTCTGAATCCTCTTGTTCTTGAATACCTTCAAGCCAGGTCCTCTCTGTAAGTTTGTATTTCACCTCCAGTGATTCTGAGTAGGCACAACTCTTCTCCCCATCACACAGACATCAAACTCCAGGCACCTAGAGAAGTAGCTTGCCCCAAATTGCCCGATGAGGAAGTGGGTGTGTGTGAGAATCCAGGGTTTGGGCTAGTCTGGGCTCTTCCCCCAAGTTTTTCTTAAGGAGCAGTCCCTCGGCATGAGACTCATCTGGGGGATATGGTAAACTTCATATTCCTGGGCCCCCAAGTCCTACAGGATGTCAGGGTCCAGAGGCATGAGACCGAGGGCCAGGCTTCTGGCCTCTGTAACGTGCTCCCCGGGTAGGGTTACCAGTGGCAATACAGGATGCTTAGGTAAATTTGCATTTAAGATCAACAATGAATAAACAAAAAATACAAATGGGATATAGTCATACTAAAAAAAAGGCATCATTGATCTGAAATGCAAATTTACCTCAACTTTCTTTTTATTAGCTGAATCAGGCAACCCTATCCCCAGAGGACTAGCCTACCCCCAGAAGTTTGAAAATCTGTTTTCTCCCTCTCCATGTGAACAAACGAGCATTCCATCATTGTTCATTTTCTATTCTCCCTCACCCCTTCTGCCTCCCCACTCTCACCCTGGAGCAGAGACTTTAATGTCATCTACCAGGATTTCTCACACAGGGAATCCCGGGCAAGGCCAGGAAGATGGTTGGATGGGGTCACTCAGCCCAACCCACCTCCAAGAGTCGATGAGATACCATAAGCAAATAAATTCACGAGAGGTTGGCTGAATCCATCCTAGTGTTGCGTTAGCCTGGCTCTCCCCATTTTATTCAAGCACAAATTACTAACAAGACTCTTTTCCAGTCTTAGCTTTGCCAAAACTATTTTTAGAGCATCATTTAGGCTTAGGTGATATAAAAATTCTGCTAGTTTTACAAACCAGCAGCCTTCCAAGGCAAAAAGCAATTCATGCCAGGAAAGTAGCAAAGGATTATTCATTTTCTGTCCATAGGCTGGTAAGGAGTTTTGTATCTAATAGGCTGCCTTCAACACAATAATTGAGAAGAGGAACTCATAAGCAAAGCTAAAGAACTCATCCTTAGAGAATACAAGTTCAAACTGAGAAAGGTTTTACTTTTAAGACAAAACAAATAGCATTAACACACATCCAAATGCCAGTGCAGGAGTTCACTGGGTTTATAAAAGAGAAAACTAAAC
The DNA here is from genome assembly GCF_000001405.40 of Homo sapiens. Lineage (NCBI taxonomy): Eukaryota > Metazoa > Chordata > Mammalia > Primates > Hominidae > Homo > Homo sapiens. The sequence continues at coordinate 442,622 of NW_025791818.1, forward strand.
TCAAGTGTCAAATAAAAACTGGAGCCGTCAAGAATGACTGCTTGTGGCAACACAGGTGTAACATGTGCTTGTCTAAAGTCGTTCTGTGTTTGTGGATATGTGGAAATGCATGACGAGGGAAACGATGCAAGGCAAAATGGCAGGTGCTCAAAGCTTTAAGATCCTTTTCTTCACGCTTGTGTGCTCTTGTTTTGCTTTTGAGAATTAGGGTAATTCGCAGGTCATTTTACAAAGAACTGTAATATCAAAGAACACTTCCAAACGGCTAAAATAGGCTCAAGGTCACTATTAAAGTGATAAAGGGAGGTCCGTGGGGGAAAAGTTTGTGTTCTCAAAAGCCAGATTTCACACCATGGCAGGCACTAAATCTAGTTACATGTGCTTGCAGTAGAAAAAGAAGACACTGATCTTAATAGAGGCTGGTCTTTTTCATGATGCGCAGGAACTCTTGCTCACTGACCTCTCCATCTCCATCTCGATCAGCTTCATCAATCATTTCCTATATGACAGTAAAGATTCAGGTTAATTTATAAACTAATGCCAAAAGGTGACTAAGTAATAGACTTTTTTTTTTTTAGAGATGGGGTCTCTATGCTGCCCACACTGGTCTCAAATTCCTGGCCACAAGAGATCCTCCTGCCTCAGCCTCCCAAAGTACTGGGATTATATGCATGATCCACTGTGCCTGGCAAGCAATAGACTTTTAATCTATGTGAATAGATAATTTGTATCTATGTGAATAGATCATTGTAGTCCACCCAATGCCAGTATGCTACTCCTGATAATAGCTTGGTTTCTGAAAAGTTATTTGAAAACCAACTCATACTTTGTCAAACATATCACCTGGGAGGGACCTTGAAGATTGCCTTGACTAGAGGGATTCCTGGAACCTAAAATAGTAAGCAAAATTGTGCATATGTGCATTTTTCTGGAAGCAGGGTTCATAGGTTTGTCTGACTATTAAAGGAGAATTAAGTTGTCTGCAGAGGGACAAAGTACACTGGCTTTTCTTCAAAGAGGTGCTCACACTAGGGAAAATGTAATGGAAAAGTCACAGAGGGCTCAAAGGTGGGAATTTTAAGTTCCAGTGTGATGCATTACAAACCTGCAGCTCCTCATCAGTCAGGTTCTCACCCAACTCCTTGGCCACGCGTTTCAGATTTTTGAACGAAATCTTCCCAGTTTCATCATCATCAAAGAGCTTGAAAGCTTTCAGGATTTCTTCTTTAGTATCTTTCTCAGACTTAACAAGTAGAACATAAAACACATGAGTAGGGGGACACCACGGTTGGTTACTACTGTCCTGTAGCCCTGCCACTGCCTGGTCAGGTCACCCTTTCCTTTTTAACAATGTAACTCGAGTCTAGACTTGCGGCAAGTGTCAGGAAGCCCATTTTGGCCTCAAAGAAACACCAGGCAAGCCAGGCACTCCATCCAAGGTGACGTTTGCTACCTATCGCTATATCTCTCCCTATCCCATATCTATTTCCTAACTGATTTGGAATTCTGTGGGAAGAGGTATCTGCTTGGAAGTCTTGAGAAAGAAGCACAAGGGCTTGTTTTGGGAGCCCAAAGTAACATGATGGGAGGGCAGGCCTCCTGATGCAGTTGCTACCTGGACTGCTCTGTGGTCACATGACTGTTTTAACAGGAAGACGCCATGGACCTCTGCAGATGACTGGGGCTCCATACCATGATAATTGTCTTAGCTACTTACCATTTTCTGGGTCATCACAGTTAAAAAGTCACCAAAGTTCATTTTTCCTGTCCCTTCCTTATCAATTTCACTTATCATTTTCTTAATTTCTTCTTTCTTGGGTTCAAAGCCCAGGGCCCTCATTGCCACCTATAAAGAAAACAGGATCGTCTCAATAAGCACATCTAAAGTAGCAGGAGCAAAAATAACAGTGTTGAGAGCATTAAGCCAGCATCTGATGTGGTCATGTTAATATGATTGGGGAACACTATGACATTGATCTAATTGATATTTGCAATCAATTTTATTGAATAATACTCAAAGTAAGTAAAGACAGGAAAACAGCACAGTACAACCTCCCCTGTTACTTACTGCAGGGAGAAGAGGGCAAAAGGGGTAGAGAGGTGATAGGGAGATGACAAGGAAGAGGCAGAGGAAAGGAAGGGCAGTACGGCAGGAATGCACAGAGCTTGCCTTCAGTTCTTTAACATCTATGGTGCCAGTTCCATCCGCATCGAAAAGATCAAAAGCTTCCCGGATCTCCTGCTTTTGCTCTTCAGTAAGCTCAGGCTTAGGGCTCATTCTTTTTCGCTGAGAACTTGATGCCATGTTTGCCTTCTTAAAGTTGGAGGCCTTTATATGTTATGCAATACACAAGCACAATAATATATCATACAGTCCATATTTACATAACATAGTTACAGACACCCATATGTATTTTTAAAGTCATTTATATAACCAATTCCAAAGCTTTGCTTAAAAAGAAAGATAACAGGGTTTACTGGCAAGAACAATGAATCTTTCCATGAACTTCTACCCCTCCCTTTTCTTTACTGTTGTTTCTAGAAGCAGGGAGATCACTTGTTCAGTAAGGACACCTCTTACTGAAAATCATCCCAAAAGAGAGCCAGTCAAGAAGATGACTGTGAATAACTAGAGATAATCAGCTCTTCCCGAACGTGGGGATCCTGGTTCTGAAAACAGTCTTACGATGCCCACTCCCAGTACTCCCCTTCCCAGTAAGTACTCCGACTTCCCAATTACTTCTAGATTTGGCCAAATATTAGTAAGTTGTTAAGATGTATATTGTGTCAGTACCGAGTAATAAAACTCAATCCATCTGGCACCTTCGTGCCTTCTCCAAGAAGCTAAAGCATCCCCTGAATGCCCCTGTATTTAAATTGTAAAAAACATTGTAACAGAACACGATACACCTTTTCCCAGCTGTGTGTGGAAATTTTGGCAGAATGAGGAGGCCAGGGGGCCAAGGTCTGAGAGAGTCAGGGGCCTGTGAGGGATTCGAGTCTTTTTTGCCCAGGGAGGTTCACCGAGGGGATCAGGGAATGCAAGGGGAGCCCGAGGGGCGGGTGTGGGCCTGTTGTGGGTGAAGAGGAGGCAGCAGCGAAGCGCAGGCCCAGTAGGTTGGTTAGCGTCTGTACCCTACTCTCCCGGGAAAGAGCTCAAAGGAAAGACTGGTGCGCTAAAGCCGAGAAAGGCGCAGGAGAGGCGGCGTGGCCGAGCTGGGGCCTGGGAAGGGCTCAGCCGCTGGGCGTGGGGCGCGACAGAGCGGCAGCACTCACCATAGCCAAAGGAGTCCGCTGCCGGTTGTTAGGCAACCGACGTGTACACTGACTCGGCGCCGTTCCCACCGCCCCGCGCGCGCAGCCCCGCTCCCCATTGGCCGTCCGCTCGTCGCCGCCTCTCCCTATTGGTGCAGGGCCGAAGAGGGTGGGACTAACCTGGCAAAGCCCCGGCCCAGCGCGGGGAGGGGCACGCTGGCGACAGAGCCCCGTCTTTATTGGGCAAGATCACGCCGTGAGCGCCAATTGGCTGAGTCGTCGCCGAGCTGGGCCAATCCTCTTGGTGGAGGAAGCTCGGCTGATTCTCGGCTCACGCGGGAGGGGAGTAAAGGGTGGCGGTCCGGGCCTGGAGTTCAGTGGGTGCAGCCTGCTTGCGAGCTGAGGCCAGACAGGGGGGCGCCTACGGACGGGTAAGAGTCGTGGCCTTGCCATTGGAGGTCACCCTGTGTCAGCGACTGGGCAGTGCGGGAGGGTGGGGAGCTACGGGGTCGCCCGGGTCGGGTGCTTTCTGGGTTGACCTAAGGCTGAGTTTAGGGACCGAGTGCATCAGAGCAGCCAGAAACGATTACCTTGCGTGTTGGAGCAGGGACTGTACTCACGGGGCAACTGAGACCCGGAGAGGGGAAGGGGTGTGCTGAGTGTTGTCGCAGAGGTCGGACGGCTGGGACCTAGGAACTGAATCCAGCCGAGGCTCGCTCTTTGAGGGTGGCCCTTCGAGAGCACCCCTAGACTGACCCAGATGTATAGGCCCCAGACCAGGTTCCAAGAGAGGATCACTTTAGATCTTACCTGGCTAAAAGCAGCCCAGGACGGTGAACTGGGGCCTTTGGGAACGGACTTTGAAAGGAGTGAGGGGGATGTGAGCGAGCATGAGGGGCGGGGAGAGGTCATCAAAATATACTCTTTTTGACACCCACACAATGCAGATAAGGAGGAGCATTCCAGGCCGAGACGCCCTCATCAGCAGAGTCACAGGAGTTTTGGAAGTGAGAGGTATGCTTGGAGAATTAAAAGGGAGCGTGTGCAAGGGCTGTGGACTGACATAGACCTGCAGAAGTGGAGCTGGAGGTCCAGTTTGCCCTCTTTAGCTATCCCCGTGGCTTTTAGCCTTCACCTGTTTTTCCTCCAGGCATAGGGGCAGTAATCTAGGGAGACAGAGGGCAGAGAGTAAGTTTCTCAGACAGAGAAAGGCCCGAGGCTTATTAGAACCTTTTAAATGGAGCTGCTGCCCTTTGCCCTCTTCTCTCTTCAGCAGTGAACAGATTCCTGACTTTTGGGTCATCATCATCCCCCCAAGTAGTACGAGCCAGAGTTCTCACTGTGATCTCCAAAGCTTGGCACGACGTGTCCCCTTCCATCGCTCCACAACTCTTCTCTCGTCTGGCTCACTCCAGCCCCAGAACACTGGCTTTGTGGTTGAACCTCATGTGCCAGCCACACTCCTGCCTCTCATCTTTGTCTCAGTTGTCCTCTCCGCCTGCCTCCTCTTAGGCACCCTATTTAAGTATTGCAGCCCCCAGTACAAACAAGCCACTCACCTTGCTCTACTTTTTTTTCCAACAGTTCTTATCCCCTTCTGACCTACTGTATATTTTGCTTGTTTGTTTTGCTCTTTGTTGTCCCTCCACTAGAAGGCAGGCTGTCTGAGGGCAGGCATCTTTGTTGTATTCACTACTGGTACTCCAGGACCTAGAACAGAGAGGGGCACATATTAGACAACTGATGAGTAGCTCCCCTGTTTCCCAGCTCTCACCTAGCTAGTCCTCCCTGCTCTACCAGGTTAATCTTCGTAGTGAACGGCCCTGGTCAGGGCATCTCCCTGCTCTTAAACCTTCAGAGCCTGAACCGTAAAGGGCTCCTTAGCCTGGCCTGTGATCCCTCTGCCCAGTTTTGCCCCTGGTAACCCTTCTAGCTTAATGTCCCTCCATACCTTGCTTCCCAGTCCGTCAACCTGCAGATCGGAAGCCTGACAGAGTACAAGGGAAAAACACAAGTTCTGCGCAGGCTGTGTGCAGGCTGTGTGACCTTGGGCAAGTCGCTTAACCTCTCTGAGCCTGTTTCTCATTTGTTGAGTGAGACCAGTACTGTCTACCTGATGGGATACTTTTGCATCTCAATGGGATGAACTACTTATATGTAAAGTGGCCTGATGTTGAGCAGGTCTTCAGGCAGTATTACAGTTGACCCCTGAACAACATGGGTTTGAACCTTGTGAGTCCATTTACAGGCAGATTTTTTTCTCATCTCTCCCACCGCTGAGCAGCAGGATCAGCTCCTCCTCATCTTCCTTCTCAGCATACTCATCAGGAAGACCGTGAGGATGGAGACCATGATGATCCACTTTCACTCAGTGAATAGTAAATATATTTTCTCTTCCTTATGATTTCATAGTAACATTTTCTTTTCTCTAGCTTAATTTATTGCTGGGACACAGTATGTAATACATGTAATGTACAAAATATTTGTTCATCAACTGTTTACATTATTGGTAAGGCTTCCAGCCAACAGTAAGCTATATTAGTGAAGTTTTAGGTGAGTCAAAAGTTATATGTGGATTTTTGACTTCGGGGCTCCGTGCCCCTAACCCCCACATTGTTCAAGAGTCAAATGTAGTTCTTGTCTCTGATTTGCTCTTGTCATTCCCCCCCGCCCACCATGCCTGGAGCCTTAGACTTGTCCAAAATCTCTTCCCTGCACTGCAGCCAAGGTGATCTTTCCAGTCGCAACACTCACTCCTGCTTCCAACTTCTAGGGGCTCCACCATCTTTCCCCCCTTGTAACTCCCTAGCTTGGCACACAGCCCCCACATGTTCTCAACTTTGCTCCCGATCTTGCTTCACACTTGCTGTGACACAGCTTGTCACTGTTATAAGAACATGCTGGCTCTGTGCCATCACTTTGTCCTTCCCACCCTGGCCATGGAATGTCTTTCAGGACACCATGCGCTCTGTTTTACTCACTCTTCTGGGGCCTTTTGAAGTCAGCTTAGGGATCTCCTAGTTGGGGCAGGCTTCCCTGAGCCAGCAGCCTGCATTGGTGCTCTGGGCTTGCCCTCATCAGAGTGGAAACGCACTTCTGTGACTCTTTGCTTGCTCCTGTCTCCCACCCTAGATGGCGGGCTCCTTGAAGGTTGGCAGTGTGTCTTTGTCAGCTTCTGCCTGGTAGTGGCTGGCATTTGATAACTTGTGAATGAGGAAATCAATGCATGAGGTGACACCTGGGGGTTCTTTTACAAGTTACAGCTCCCGCTTTAACCCTGGGGGTTTGTTTGAGCCTCACAGTAGCTCTGAGGTAGGGAAGAAGGACGCTGTTTTACAGATAAGGCCTCATGGCCAGCGGCAGCACGATAATTCACTCAAACCCATCTTCCATTCCAGGCTGTCTGCTGGGCCTCCAGGGGCTCGTGGTGTCCTACAGGGTGCTGAGTGTGAGGATGAGAGCAGAAACAGGTGCTGTGGAAGCGACTCACCTTCCCTGGGGAGGGGGAGGAAGTTTCACAGAGGGGGCAGTTCAGCTAGGCCTTGAAGGAAGAGGAGGCACTCACCGTGGAGAGGAGAGAGAAGGTATTCCATGCAGAGGAACAGCGTAAGCTAAGCTCACAGGCATGCTGCTGGGTTTCTGAGAGGTCTACCACAAAATAAAAGCTGGCGACTTTTTTTGTCCTAAAAGTAAATAGAGAAACAAACAACTGGTGGAAACATGGACACCGCAGGTCCGTGGAAGGACAAGGTCAAGCTGGGTTGCCCCAGCATAATCAAGGCTAAAGTGACACCTCTAAAGAGAAATGACCTCCAAGCTATTGGCCTCACTAATCCTAATCTGGGTATTTTCTTTCCCATATCACATCTTTGAATTCTGAAAGGGAGGCTTTATTGTTGTTCCTACAGGGCTCCTGCTTTGCTGTATTTTCTCTAAGAAATATGTCCATAATGAAGGTGTGTGCCGCCTCAGGTGAATCCTTCTCTTTGCATCTGATCATCTGGCCCAGTCCTGCAGAGGAGGCCAAGCATGAGGCATGAGGTGATGGGAAATAGGGGAATCCTCTTTTATAATCCAAGGCTTAGGCCCCCATTTCAGGATTCCAAAGAAAGTTCTAAGAAACATTACTTGGCATTCCTTGGATAGCCAAACTCTACTGAGGTGTTTGGGGAAGGGCAGTTTGCCTGGCATTGTCTGCCCATGGACTGAAGGGATGAGCTCTCAGTGGCCACATTCTAGCTTCCTGCACTGGACCTTGTGCAAGGGTGGGGCTCCGACAACCTTTCCCCTTTACAAAGATGTCACACTTCTTTCTAGAAGGACGGGACGCTCTCATCTCTCTCCCTAGTTTGAGACAGAATGTTCTCTCCTTTTCCCTCCAGGAAATGTTCCCCAGCAGGAAGGAGGAGGTTGGGCTAACTCGCTTCTCTCTTCTCGCTTCACATGAGGCGGCACACACCTTCATTATGGATGTGTTTCTTAGAAAAAATACAGCAAAGCAGGAGTCCTCTAGGAGCAAACGTAAGGCCTCCCTTTCAAGATGTGATATGGGAAAGAAAATACTCAGATTAGGATTAGTGAGGCCAGTGGCTACAAGGTCACATCTCTCTTTTTTTTTTTTTAATTATTATTATACTTTAAGTTCTAGGGTACATGTGCACAACATGCAGGTTTGTTACATAGGTATACATGTGCCATCTTGGTTTGCTGCACCCATCAACTCGTCATTTACATTAGGTATATCTCCTAATGCTATCCCTCCCCCAGGCCCCCACCCCCCAGGCCCCAGTGTGTGATGTTCCCCGCCCTGTGTCCAAGTGTTCTTATTGTTCAGTTCCTACCTATGAGTGAGAACATGTGGTGTTTGGTTATCTGTCCTTGTGATAGTTTGCTGAGAATGATAGTTTCCAGCTTCATCCATGCCCCTACAAAGGACATGAACTCATCATTTTTCATGGCTGCATAGTATTCCATGGTGTATATGTGCCACATTTTCTTAATCCAGTCTATCAGTGTTGGACATTTGGGTTGGTTCCAAGCCTTTGCTATTGTGAATAGTGCCACAATAAACATATGTGTGCATGAGTCTTTATAGTAGCATGATTTATAATCCTTTGGGTATATATACCCAGTAATGGGATTGCTGGGTCAAATGGTATTTCTAGTTCTAGATCCTTGAGGAATGGCCACACTGTCTTCCACAATGGTTGAACTAATTTACACTCCCACCAACAGTGTAAAAGTGTTCCTATTTCTCCACATCCTCTCCAGTATCTGTTGTTTCCTGACTTTTTAAAGATCGCCATTCTAACTAGTGTGAGATGGTATCTCATTGTGGTTTTGATTTGCATTTCTCTGATGGCCAGTGATGATCAGCATTTTTTCGTGTGTCTGTTGGCTGCATAAATGTCTTCTTATGAGAAGTGTCTGTTCATATCCTTTGCCCACTTTTTGATGGGGTTGTTTGTGTTTTTCTTGTAAATTTGTTTAAGTTCTTTGTAGATTCTGGATATTAGCCCTTTGTCAGATGGGTAGATTGCAAACATTTTCTCCCATCCTGTAGGTTGCCTGTTCACTATGATGGTAGTTTCTTTTGATGTGCAGAAACTCTTTAGTTTAATTACATCCCATTTGTTTATTTTGGCTTTTGTTGCCATTGCTTCTGGTGTTTTAGTCATGAAGTCCTTGCCCATGCCTATGTCCTGAATGGTATTGCCTAGGTTTTCTTCTAGGGTTTTTATGGTTTTAGGTCTAACATTTAAGTCTTTAATCCATCTTGAATTAATTTTTGTATAAGGTGTAAGGAAGGGATCCAGTTTCAGCTTTCTCCATATGGCTAGCCAGTTTTCCCAGCACCATTTATTAAATAGGGAATCCTTTCCCCATTTCTTGTTTTTGTCAGGTTTGTTAAAGATCAGATGGTTGTAGATGTGTGGTGTTATTTCTGAGCGCTCTGTTTTGTTCCATTGGTCTATATCTCTGTTTTGGTACCAGTACCATGCTGTTTTGGTTACTGTAGCCTTGTAGTATAGTTCGAAGTCAAGTAGTATGATGCCTCCAGCTTCGTTCTTTTTGCTTAGGATTCTCTTGGCTATGTGGGCTCTTTTTTGGTTCCATATGAACTTTAAAGTAGTTTTTTCCAATTCTGTGAAGAAAGTCATTGGTAGCTTGATGGTGATGGCATTGAATCTATAAATTACCTTGGACAGTATGGCCAGTTTCACAATATTGATTTTTCCTATTCATGAGCATGGAATGTTCTTCCATTTGTTTGTGTCCTCTTTTATTTCGTTGAGCAATGGTTCGTAGTTCTCCTTGAAGAGGTCCTTCACGTCCCTTGTAAGTTGGATTCCTAGGTATTTTATTATCTTTGAAGCAATTGTGAATGGGAGTTCACTCATGATTTGGCTCTCTGTTTGTCTGCTATTGGTGTTTAGGAATGCTTGTGATTTTTGCACATTGATTTGGTATCCTGAGACTTTGCTGAAGTTGCTTAAGGAGATTTTGGGCTGAAACGATAGGGTTTTCTAAATATATAATCATGTCATCTGCAAACAGGGACAATTTGACTTCCTCTTTTCCTAATTGAATACCCTTTATTTCTTTCTCTTGCCTGATTGCCCTGGCCAGAACTTCCAACACTATGTTGAATAGGAGTGGTGAGAGAGGGGACCCCTCTCTTGTGCCAGTTTTCAAAGGGAATGCTTCCAGTTTTTACCCATTCAGTATGATATTGGCTGTGGGTTTGTCATAAGTAGCTCTTATTATTTTGAGATATGTCCCATCAATACCTAATTTATTGAGAGATTTTAGCATGAAAGGCTGTTGAATTTTGTCAAAGGCCTTTTCTGCATCTATTGAGATAATCATGTGGTTTTTGTCTTTGGTTCTGTTTATATGCTGGATTACATTTATTGATTTATGTATGTTGAACCAGCCTTGCATCCCTAGGATGAAGCCCACTTGATCGTGGTGGATAAGCTTTTTGACATGCTACTGGATTCAGTTTGCCAGTATTTTATTGAGGATTTTTGCATCGATGTTCATCAGGGATATTGGTCTAAAATTCTCTTTTTTTGTTGTGTCTCTGCCAGGCTTTGGTATCAGGATGATGCTGGCCTCATAAAATGAGTTAGGGAGGATTCCCTCTTTTTCTATTGAGTGGAATAGTTTCAGAAGGAATAGTACCAGCTCCTCTTTGTACCTCTGGTAGAATTCGGCTGTGAATCCGTCCGGTCCTGGCCTTTTTTTGGTTGGTAGGCTATTAATTATTGCCTCAATTTCAGAGCCTGTTATTGGTCTGTTCAGGGATTCAACTTCTTCCTGGTTTAGTCTTGGGAGGATGTGTGTGTCCAGGAATTTATCCATTTCTTCTAGATTTTCTAGTTTATTTGCATAGAAGTGTTTATAGTATTCTCTGATGGTAGTTTGTATTTCTGTGGGATCGGTGGTGATATCTCCTATATCATTTTTTATTGTGTCTATTTGATTCTTCTCTCTTTTCTTCTTTATTAGTCTTGCTAGCGGTCTATCAATTTTATTGATCTTTTCAAAAAACCAGCTCCTGGATTCACTGATTTTTTTTGAAGGGTTTTTTGTGTCTCTATCTCCTTCAGTTCTGCTCTGATCTTAGTTATTTCTTACCTTCTGCTAGCTTGTGAATGTGTTTGCTCTTGTTTCTCTAGTTCTTTTAATTGTGATGTTAGGGTGTCAATTTTAGATCTTTCCTGCTTTCTCTTGTGGGCATTTAGTGCTATAAATTTCCCTCTACGCACTGCTTTAAATGTGTTCCAGAGATTCTGGTATGTTGTGTCTTTGTTCTCATTGGTTTCAAAGAACATCTTTATTTCTGCCTTCATTTCGATATTTACCCAGTAGTCATTCAGGAGCAGGTTTTTCAGTTTTCATGTAGTTGTGCAGTTTTTAGTGAGTTTCTTAATCCTGAGTTCTAATTTGATTGCCCTGTGTCTGAGAGACGGTTTGTTGTGCTTTCTGTTCTTTTACATTTGCTGAGGAGTGCTTTACTTCCAACTATGTGGTCAATTTTGGAATAAGTGTGATGTGGTGCTGAGAAGAATGTATATTCTGTTGATTTGGGGTGGAGAGTTCTGTAGATGTCTATTAGGTCTGCTTGGTGCAGAGCTGAGTTCAATTCCTGGATATCCTTGTTAACCTTCTGTCTTGTTGATCTGTCTAATGTTGACAGTGGGGTGTGAAAGTCTCCCATTATTATTGAGTGGGAGTCTAAGTCTCTTTGTAGGTCTCTAAGGACTTGCTTTATGAATCTGGGTGCTCCTGTATTAGGTGCATATATATTTAGGATAGTTAGCTCTTCTTGTTGAATGGATCCCTTTACCATTATGTAATGGCCTTCTTTGTCTCTTTTGATCTTTGTTGGTTTAAAGTCTGTTTTATCAAAGACTAGGATTGCAACTTCTGCTTTTTTTTGCTTTCCATTTGCTTGGTAGATCTCTCTTCATCCCTTTATTTTGAGCCTATGTACGTCACTGCACGTGAGATGGGTCTCCTGAATACAGCACACTGATGGGTCTTGACTCTTTATCCAATTTGTCAGTCTGTGTCTTTTAATTGGGGCATTTAGCCCATTTACATTTAAGGTTAATATTGTTATGTGTGAATTTGATCCTGTCATTATGATGTTAGGTGGTTATTTTGCCCGTTAATTGATGCAGTTTCTTCCTAGCATTGACAGTCTTTACAATTTGTCATGTTTTTGCAGTGGCTGGTACCAGTTGTTCCTTTCCATGTTTAGTGCTTCCTTCAGGAGCTCTTATAAGGCAGGCCTGGTGGTGACAAAATCTCCCAGCATTTGTTTGTCTGTAAAGGATTTTATTTCTCCTTCACTTATGAAGCTTAGTTTGGCTGGATATGAAATTCTAGGTTGAAAATTCTTTTCTTTAAGAATGTTGAATATTGGCTCCCACTCTCTTCTGGCTTGTAGGGTTTCTGCCGAGGGATCTGCTGTTAGTCTGATGGGCTTCCCTTTGTCGGTAACCCGACCTTTCTCTCTGGCTGCCCTTTACATTTTTTCCTTCATTTCAACTTTGGTGAATCTGACAATTATGTGTCTTGGAGTTGCTCTTCTCGAGGAGTATCTTTGTGGCATTCTCTGTATTTCCTAAATTTGAATGTTGGCCTGCCTTGCTAGGTTGGGGAAGTTCTCCTGGATAATATCCTGCAGAGTGTTTTCCAACTTGGTTCCATTCTCCCTGTCACTTTCAGGTACTCCAGTCAAATGTAGATTTGGTCTTTTCACATAGTCCCATGTTATTTGGAGGCTTTGTTCATTTCTTTTTACTCTTTTTTTCTCTAACCTTGTCTTCTCACTTTATTTCATTAATTTGATCTTCAATCACTGATATCCTTTCTTCCAATTGATTGATTTGGCTATTGAAGCTTGTGCGTATGTCATGAAGTTCTCGTGCCATGGTTTTTCAGCTCCGTCAGGGCATTTAAGGTCTTCTCTACACTGTTTATTCTAGTTAGTCATTCATCTAACCTTTTTTCAAGGTTTTTAGCTTCCTTGCGATGGGTTAGAACATGTTCCTTTAGCTCAGAGAAGTTTTTTATTACCAACCTTCTGAAGCCTACTTCTGTCAACTTGTCAAAGTCATTCTCCATCCAGCTTTGTTCTGTTGCTGGCGAGGAGCTGTGATCCTTTGGAGGAGAAGAGGCACGCTGGTTTTTAGAATTTTCAGGCTTTCTGCTCTGGTTTCTCCCCATCTTTGTGGTTTTATCTACCTTTGGTCTTTGATGTTGGTAACCTACAGATGGGGTTTTGGTGTGATGTCCTTTCTGTTGATGTTGATGCTATTCCTTTCTGTTTGTTAGTTTTCCTTCTAACAGTCAGGTCACTCAGCTGCAGGTCTGTTGGAATTTGCTGGAGCTCCACTCCAAACCCTGTTTCCCTGGGTATCACCAATGGAGGCTGCAGAACAGCAAATATTGCTGCCTGATCCTTCCTCTGGGAGCTTCGTGCCAGAGGGTCACCCGCCTGTATAAGGTGTCTGTCGGCCCCTACTGGGAGGTGTCTCCAGTTAGGCTACATGAGGGTCAGGGACCCACTTGAGGAGCAGTCTGTCCTTTCTCAGAGCTCAAACGCCATGCTGGGAGAACTACTGCTCTCTTAAGAGCTGTCAGACAAGGACGTTTAAGTCTGCCAAAGTTTCTGCTGCCTTTTGTTCAGCTATGCCATGCCCACAGAGGTGGAGTCTATAGAGGCAGTAGGCCTTGCTGAGCTGTGGTGGGCTCTGCCCAGTTCGAGCTTCTCAGCCACTTTGTTTACCTATTCAAGCCTCAGCAATGGCGGACGCCCCTCCCCCTCCAGGCTGCAGCCTCACAGGTGGATCTCAGACTGCTGCACTAGCAGTGAGCAAGGCTCCATGGCCATGGGACCCTCCGAGCCAGGCACAGGAGAGAATCTCCTGGTCTGCCAGTTGCTAAGACCGTGGGAAAAGTGTAGTATTTGAGCGGGAGTGTCCCGTTTTTCCAGGTACAGTCTGTCACGGCTTCCCTTGGCTAGGAAAGGGAAATCCCCCAACCCCTTGCACTTCCTGGGTAAGGCAACGCCGTGCCCTGCTTTGGCTCACCCTCCATGGGCTGCACCCACTGTCCAACCAGTCCCAACGAGGTGAACCAGGTACCTCCATTGGAAATGCAGAAATCACCCATCTTCTGTGTCGATCACGCTGGGAGCTGCAGACCGGAGCTGTTCCTATTCGGCCCTCTTGGAATGAACTGAGTTCACATCTCTTTAGAGGTTTCAGTTTAGCCTTATTTTGCTGTGGCAGCTCAGCTCAACTTTGTCCTTCCATGGGCCTGTGGTGTGGGGCAAGGTGGTTGGATTTCACCAGTACAACATATCTCTGTTTTCCTATATTATTTTTAGCTTAAGATTTTGTCCCAGTGTACATCGTGGGTGCACATATTGGTTTTTAATGGATTCAAATAACTAACATTTTAAAGGAAGAGACTTGAGGCTTCTGATGTGTGAACCATAACAATCCACCAGCCCCTAAAACATTGCTCTTTGGAGTCTTGTTTTCAGTAGTTCAGAGCTATTCTTCTGTATGTCTGTGTGGTAAAGTAGACATAACAGAAAATGTACCATCTTCACCATATTTAGGTGGACAGTTGAGTGGCATTACATGCATTCCCATTGTTGAGTGACCATCACCCCATCCGCCTTCAGAACTCTTTTCCTCCTGCAGCACTGAGAGTCTGTTCCCATCAGCAGTCACTCCCCACTCACAGAGCATTTGTCCTTTTGTGTCTAGCTTATTTCACTGACCATAATGTTCTCGAGGTTCACGCATGTTGTTGCATGTCTCAGAACTTCATTCCTTTTTATGGCTGAAGAATATGCCCGTGTGTGGCTAGACCATATTTTGTTTATCTGTTCATCTGTCAGTGGACACATTGCTGCTCCTACCTTTTGGCTGTAGTGATTAATGCTGCTGTGAACATGGATGTACAAATTTTTCTTCAAGTCCCTGCTTTTAGTTTTTGGGGGTATATGCCCAGACATGAAATTGCTGGATCCTATTGTAATTCTCTGTTTAATTTTTTTGAGGAGCTGCCATACTATTTTCCACAACGTCGCACCATTTTACATGCCCATGAACAATATATGAGGGTTCCAGGTTCTCCACATCCTCACTGACACTTGCTATTTTCTCTTTTCTGGCTTTTGATAATAGCCATCCTAATAATGGGTGTAAGGTGACACCTCACTGTGGTTTTGATTTGCATTGCCCTGTTGATTAGTGACGTTGAGCATCGTTTTTTATTTTTTGTTTTTTGTTTTTTTGAGACAGAGTCTTGTTCTGTCGCCCAGGCTGGAGTGCAATGGCGGCACCATCTTGGCTCACTGCAACCTCTGCCTCCCGGGTTCAAGTGATTCTCCTGCCTCAGCCTCCCGAGTAGTTGGGATTACACGCATGTGCCACCACGCCCAGCTAATTTTTGTATTTTTAGTAGAGACGGGGTTTCACCATGTTGGCCAGTCTGGTCTTGAACTCCTGACTTCAAGTGTTTCACCTGCCTCGGCCTCCCAAAGTACTGAGATTACATGCGTGATCCACCACGCCCAGCCTGTTGAACATCTTTTCATGTGCTTTTTAGCCATCTTTAAAGTAGATCTTCTTTGGAGAAATGTCTATTCAGTCAGAGCTATTCTCAATGTACATTTTAACCCAAGCGTATATCACATGGTGAATTTAGGTGAGTAGGCAGGGGACGGGGGTTGCCTATGGGATCTGACTCATTTGCGCGGCTAGCTCTGGGTACTCCAACCCATAGAGACAGCTAAGCTGTCACCAAAATTCTTATCTGACTCATAGTATTTACAAACTTTAAAATAATTGGTATATAATTTGAGACAAAGGAGATTTTGTTTTGACAAGAGGCTGGTTTGCAAAGAATTGTGTGATTATTGTTTCAGCAGTACAGCTCCGTTGGGGTGAGACATGTTTCTTCTTTGACCTCCTACATCCTCCTCTAGCAAACGAGGAGAGGAATAGGCTCTAAGGCTTCTTGCTTTTGCTAGTCATACAAGGGGACTTGTGGAATTGGCAGCTCTGCTATTTGGATTTCGGCACTACAAAGGATACTCGTATAGTTTGCTGGGTCTGCTGTAACAGATGACCACAAACTGGGTGACTTAGAAAAGCAGAAATGTGTCTCTCACAGTTCTGGAGGCCACAAGTCCAAAATCAAGGTGTTGACAAGGTTGTGTTCCCTCTGAAGGATCCAGGGGAGACTCGTTCTTCATTGTTTCCACCTTCTAGTGGCTCCAGGTGTTCCTTTGCTTGTAGCCACATCACTCTAACCTCTGCCTCCATCTTCACATGGCCTCCTCCTCTTCTCCCTGCCTTTCCCCTCTGTATGTCTCTTATAAGACCACTTGTCATTGGATTTAGGGCCTACCAGGCCTCCAAGGACCTCTATTGGCCCATTCTTTTCCTACTTTTCATGCAAAACTTAAGGCTACGGGAGCAGTTAAAGTTACTTTTTGGTTCAAGAAGAACTGAATGAAGCATTTGGTGTTAGTCATTATGCTATTCATTGAATGAGGCCAAAGAGGAAATGATTCTTTCCACCCAAGTTTGCTTGCGAGTCCCAGTCTTTCTTTACACTCCTGCCCCATGCTGTCGCTGTACACCTACTTTACAAAGCATGTCCTTGGTTGTTTATTTGTTAGCCAGCATCTAGTTGTTGCGACAACCCCAGGAGTTAGCCTTTAGGCAGGACCTGGGAGCCGTTTCCAGGACAGATAGGACAGCCCCTGCCTGCCCAAGCTTATACCGCATGGCAGCAGATTAGATAGGGGAGAACTAAAGTGGTGGAGAGAGTCCAAAGGCAGCCCAAGAGGAGGCATAGGCAGGGAGACTCCTGCACAGGAAGCTGTGTTACAATGATAATAAAATTAGCTGCCTTGAATGGCGTGTTGACAGGTATTTGACACAATCCTCATAATGACCTTATGAGGCCATTTACTTTACATATGAGGAAAGGCAAGCTCAGTTCTTTTAAATAACTCCCCCGAGGGCTACCTGCTGGTAAGGAATAGTAGCTGGGATTTGAACCCAGGCAGCCGACTCTGGGTTAATTTATTGCCAGCTGCACTGAGGAGTGGCGTGATTTGTGATTTCTCATGTGTAGAGGGTGAGCAGAGGCTTACAAGAGCAGAACTCCACAGGGGTGGGCTTGCTTAGCCCGGCTGGCCTAGTTAGCCTGTCATGCGGTCCTGTCACTGCCCCAGGCACACGCCCCTCAGATCCCCTGCCAGCAGAGGTCAATAAGGCCTTGGTGGGGTCAGAGGCCAGATGTGAGCCATCTCCTTGCCCCTGTAGATGCCATGTGCCTTTTCATTTGCTCACATTTCCCTGAATATCTGGGGAATCTGGATAAGAAGCCAGCAGTGGGCATTCGTGATTATATCATCACTAAATAACAGTCACTTGCCCCACTGAAGCCCCTGCACCTTAGATGGGATATGCATGTATGCGATGGAGAGCAGTATGGGAGCTCTGGTGGGTGTGCCCACACATGGTAGTCTCATGACCCCCGGCCGATATGTGAGTGCCCACTTTGTGCTGGGCACTATGCTTCATGCCCAAGTTGCAACAGTGGGCAAGGCTTTGGTGCAAGGTGCCAAAATCCTTGTTCTCTAGCTGCTTTGGTCTAGATACACATTGAGTCCCAGTGAGTTCAATATCAGCCACATGTCTTTCGAATGAACAGTTGACAGGGCCCCTACCAATGTGAAGGGGATTCTGGGATAAAGGGAGGGACAGGGCAGGCACAGAGCTACAGATTGACTTCAATGCATTCTAAAAATGGCCATGACAAGTCAAGTTTTGACATACAGTTTCTTAATAACTTCCATTATGAGTTCAGAAAAATGTTCCCCCAAATGGCTCCTCCAGACATTGAGGGTCCTGCATCCATTTCAAGGCCATTTTGGCTTTCTACATGCCCGTAAAGTCTGTCCCCACTGGGACACATGATCATGCCCATTCGTTAAAAGTGGCAAGGAGTGTAAAATTCGAGGTGTGGGGTTGGATTGGAGCAATCACAGCAGGTGGAATCCCAGTGCTGCCTGCCACCTCCTCACTGAAGTGTTCTGTGAATCTAGCCTTTCATGAGCAAAGTTAGACTCTTGTCTTGTCGTGGGTTTTGCCATCTCCAGATGTTAGGGGAGCCATGACTAAGTAAATTGGCAACTACCAAGAAAACATGGATGCAAGACCAAATACATCATAGTCAAGTGGCATCTTTGTGTTTGCAGTTCAGTATCATGGGTGACTGAGGAGAGGAGCACCCTAAGGGCTGTCACTAAAGCCATACTCCTCTGTTTGGCAACGTTGTCGGATTTTATTGCTACCGTCTCCCTGCTGTGAACTGCTGGGTGCCCACTGTACTCTGATCACTTCTCAAGGGTTTCTGATGGCCCAAGATGCTAAGTTCCTCCACGCATCGTCAGGGCGGCTTTAACTTAGCCAAGCAGGAGAGCTCCGTCTCCTATTGCACTCCACTCATCCCCCGTCCCAGCATCCCATGTCCTGAGCTCCTAGACATGAGCCCTTGTGCCCATTTCATTGATGGGAAAACTGAGCTGCAGCAAAGGGAAGTGACTGGAGCAATTCCGTACAGTTCGTGATAGGCCCAGAGCAGGACTCCCTAGGTGTGGGCACTGCTACACCCTAATGAGCACCACAGGGGAAATCCACGCTGACTGAAGCGTGGGAGAGCCATGGAAAAAGCTACAATGCCAAAGACGTTTTTTATGTTGTCACTGATAAGTGAGCTGATTTAACTGGCCTCCTGTGCGCCTCTAATCTAACAGTGTGGTGAGTCATAGGCCCAGTCGTTGGCCCCGTTAGCCGGGCATGGTGGCAGACACCTGTAATCCCAGCTACTCAGGAGCCTAGTGTCTTGTCGAACAGCTGTCGCTATGGTTCAGCTATTTGTAAAAACATGAACGGGGGGATGGCATCTGCCCAAAACACTAACAACTAAAGATGTTTTGACTTAGGCAACATTAATGTCTGTCTCTAACTATGTCTTTAAGAAAAGAAAAGTTGATTACAAACGGGACCATATTTTGCTTCGAAATGGAACCAGCAGTTAGCGAGCCAATGAGAGACCAAGTCGCACGGACTCATTTGACAGAGGACACTCCCAAAGTGAATGCTGACATAGAAAAGGTTAACCAGAATCAGGTAAGGAGAAAGTTGACACGTACATACCAACAGGCTGATACTATTTACCTGTGGGTGAAAAATTGTATTTGTACATGTATTAATCAATGTTGGGTATTTTTTATGTAAGATATATAGCTTTGTTTAAGATGTGTCAGTTACTTATTGCTGTGTAACAATATCAGAACACAGTGGTTTAAAAGAACAACCATTTCTTTGCTTATGACTGTGGTTTCGGCTGAGCCCAGCTGGGGTGTTCTTGGATGGTCTCCCCTGGGCTCTTGCATGTAGTTGCAATCACATGGGGACCCCTTGAAGCATATGCTCCCAGGTGGCCTTGCTCACACCTCTGGTAGTAACTGGTGGCTGTCAACTGGGCACCTTGGTTTGCCTTCATGTGGCCTCCAGTAGACCAGGCTGGGCTTCCTAGTGAAATGGCAGCAGTATTTATTAGGCCTAAGATTTAGTGTCGCAAGTCTCAGTCTGAGAGAGGACTTGAAGAAATTGTTGAGCCTGGTCGTTGTCAGGCTTCCTGGAGATTCTTCACATCAGTCTGCAAAGGTTTGCTTTGATTGATTCTTAATCAGTGCTGCACTTCAAAAATGTGGCTGGGCACGGTGTCTCACACCTGTGAAATCCCAGCACTTTGGGAGGCCGAGACAGGTGGATCACCAGAAGTCAGGAGTTTGAGACCAGCCAGGCCAACATGGTGAAACCCCATCTCTACTGAAAATACAAAAAATTAGCCAGGCATGGTGGCAGACACCTGTAATCCCAGCTACTCAGGAGGCTGAGGCAGGAGAATCACTTGAACCCAGGAGGTGGAGGTTGCAGTGAGCTGAGATCACACCATTGCACTCCAGCCTGGGCGACAGAGCGAGACTCTGTCTCAAAACAAACAAACAAAACAAAACAAAACAAACAACGTAATTACATCAAGACAAAATGTGTTTATATCAAATGTTAATAGGTTCAAGATCCCTAAGAGGTTATCATGGGCCGTGAAATCACCCTGTATTTGGTGTAGAACTCAGAGTCAAGCCTCCTCTGGGCCTCTGTGGTTGAAGCCACGTGCCATCTGCAGTTCCTCATTTATGTAAATTTGGGTTTTATGGCTACTTGGCAGCCAGCAAACAAAGGTGGATTCCAATGGTTATAGCAAACTGCCATTTTCAGCTAGTTTCAAATTTTTGTGTCCTTCGAAATAACATTTTTTTCTCTCATTAGTGGACTGATTTTATAAGAAGTAAAAGTTCTAAATTTAGACTACTAAAACAAAAAGAACACATTTGTCTTAACTTACTATACGTTCTGCATAAGACCTCTCTGAGAAAAGGGTCCCACTGCTGACAACAAAGCAAAACAAGAAGGGTTGGAAAAACCCAGCGCCCTAGACTATTCTGTTATCTCAAGATTCTATTGCAATTAGATTAGTTTGCCTAAATGGTTTTTTTTCTTTTTTTTTTTTTGAGATGGAGTCTGGCTCTGTCGCCCAGGCTGGAGTGCAGTGGCGTGATTTCAGGTCACTGCAACCTCTGCCTCCCGGATTCAAGCAATTCTCCCTCCTCAGCCTCCTGAGTAGCTGGGACTACAGGCGCCTACCACCACACCTGGCTAATTTTTTGTATTTTTAGTAGAGACGGGATTTCACCATGTTGGCCAGGCTGGTCTCGAACCCCTGACCTCAGGTGATCTACCCACCTTGGCCTCCCAAAATGCTGGGATTACAGGCATGAGCCACCGTGCCTGGCCCCTATTCTTAACACTGTCTCCAAGAGGTTGATCTTATAACTCACCTCAGTAACCCATTATGGAGTCTTGCTGTTTCCAGTCTTGAGTTTTATACTTGATTGTTAGTACATGTTCATTCTTGTCCACTGTGGCTGTGAGAAGTAAAAAGTGGTCATGAAAAGTTTCATGTGATCTCCTGTAATCACACAGCATTATAGGTATGATTATCACACATTTGACTTCCCTGGGGTAAAGGCCAGTTTGATTCCCATCACTACAAGGGTCTCCAGGGAACAGCCATTGGCCTACTCATCCCAAACATTATTGATAGAACATTTCAATATCATAAAATAATCCACGTCACATTGTCCAAGAGTAGCGTACTGATTAGTCACAATTAAAATCGTGAAATGAAATCACACTGGACTAACAGCAAGGTTGTTTTTTGAAGAGATTAGCAACCTTTTGAAACACCTGTAACTAGAGATGCCAAATGAAATAAACAAGGCAGTCTGAAATCTTTCAGGATGCTTTAGTAACATATCTAGTTCTGACTGTCTTTGGGCTTAGCCAGACTTTTAGTAAACTGCAGAAATCCAGGTTGGGAAACAGGCAGCTCAGAGTTATTCTAAATAGCTACAGTTTGCCTGTACAGCTGACTTGGGAGGAGGGGAGAAGAAAGGGATTGCTAGAAAAGGGATTGATGTGAGTTTTGTATTTAATTTGGCTATGACTTGAGGAAATATACATCTCAGTCCAGGTGCAAATCATGTAACCTGGTATGATTACATGTGTTTAGGAATAATCAGAATAAAGCCTAGAAAAGAACAGGTTGGGAAGTTAGTTTTGGGTGGTAGAAGAATGGTGAGGCTGATTTTGTTAGTAGATTGCACATGGACAGATGAAGGTAAAGTACAGTGCCAGCTCCAGCTGGGCCTGGTGGAATCCAGTATGAGTGCTGTTTCAGATGGGACACCCCAACTGGGAGGGAGGTGGATCTAGAGAGGATGTCTGGCCCTGGCATCCCTTGAGTCTCTTGCATAGCTCAATTGTGTTGATGTTTAAGGAATAAGTAGGGAGATTTGTTTGTTTTTTAAATCTAGAACATAATTTCTTTAAGATCTTTCATTTCCACAAACCCAAGTTGGATTTACTGTATATGAGCTAAGGAAATTGGAGGTTGTCATCTTAAGGAGGCCCAGATACAGTTTTAGAAAGACCCTAGGGAGGAGGGATATCACAGGTCCTCCTCACAGACACCCATAGCCAGCTTGTCTGGTGTGCAGCAGCCACAGTTTGGCATCAACATCCTGAAATGAGGGTATTTAAGTGCCTGCATGTGCTACTGTGTCCTTTCATTATGCCCAGTCACCAGAGTTGGAATTACCCAAGGAATCGTGTGTGTTGTGGAGGCTGAGACATAAACACCATGGCTCTCCCCATTTCTTCAACTTC